>NC_000006.12:122646547-122949577 GCF_000001405.40 Homo sapiens | reverse complement strand
TACTCGGCCACCCTATGTCTTTTCACTGGGCACTTTAATCCATTTACTTTTAAAGTTATTACTGATAAAGAACTCACTATTGCCATTTTGTTAATTTTCTTTTGTTTATCTTGTAGCTCTTTAGTGCCTCTTTTCCTCTTTTACTCTTTTTATTGTGTGTTTCATGGATGTTTTATAGTGATATGCTTTGACTCTTCTCTCATTTTCTTTTGTATATCTTTTATAGGCATGTTCTTTGGGAATACCATATATTGTAACAATTTATTTTAAGCTGATAAAAACAACTTTAATTTTATACAAAACTCTACTTTTATTTATCCTCTTTACATTTTATGTTATTGATGTCACAAATTACATTTTAATATTGTGTGTCCATTAACCTATTTATATAGTTGTACTTATATTTTATATTTTTGCCCTTTAACTTTTATTCTAGAATTAAAAGTGACTTATGTACCATCATTATGGTATTATAGTATTCTGTGTTTGTCTATATATTTGCCAGAAAGCTTTATACTTTTATGTTTTATGTTGTTGTCTAGCATCCTTTCATTTCAACTTGAAAGACTTTGTTTAGAATTTCTTGCAAGGCAAGTCTAGTGATGATGAACTTCCTCAGCTTTTATTTATCTAGGAAAGTATTTTTTCTGTATCTTTGAAGGAAACTTTTGCCAGATATAGTATTCTTTGTTGGCAATTTATTTTTAAATTTCAGCACCTTGAATATGTCATCCCACCCCCTTCTGTCCTACGTGGTTTCTGCTAACAAACTGGCTTATGGGAGTTTCCTCATATGTGACAAATTGCTTTTCTCTTGCTGCTTTTAAAATTCTCTCATTCTTTGCTCTCTTGCTGCTTTTAAAATTCTCTTGTTCTTTGTCTTTGACTTTTGACAATTTGATTATCATGTGTCTTGGTGTGGAATTCTTTGCATTCATCTTAGTTGGAGGCTGTTGGGCTTCTTAAAACTGGAAGTCTATTTCTTTCCCCATATTTAGGATTTTTTCAGCTATTATTTCTTTAAGTAAGTTTTCTTACTCTTTTTCTCCTCTTCCTTTTTTTTTTTTAGAACTTCCGTAACACACGTATTGGTTAATTTGATAGTGTCCCATAGTTTTCAGACTAGATAATTTCAAATTATCTCTCCTTGAGTTTGCTGACTTTTCCAATTTTTTAAATTCAGTTATTATATTCCTCAGCTCCAAAATTTATTTGATTCTTTTTTATATTTCTTATCTCTTTTTAATATTCTCATTTTGTTCATAAATGATTTCCCTGAGCTTGTTGATTATCTTTATGAAAGTTATTTGAATTCTTTGTGAGGTAATTTATATCCCTTTGAGATATGGTTATCACCACCCAAATCTTATCTTGAATTGTAATCTCCATGTGTAGAGGGAGGTACCTGGTGATGGGATCATGGGGGTGATTTCCCCCATGCTGTTCTCATCATAGTGACTGAGTTCTCACAAGATCTGATGGTTTAAAAGTGTGCAGTGATTCCATCCCCTGCCCTGACTCCTGAAACCTTGTGAAGAAAGTGCCGGCTTCTCCTGTGCCATCTGCCATGCTTGTAAATTCTCTGAGGCCTCCCCAGCCATGAGGAACTGTGAGTCAATTAAAACTCTTTTCTTTATAAATTACCCAGTCTCAGGTAATTCTTTACAGCAGTGTGAAAATAGAATAATACACTTTGCATCTTCAGAGTCCATTTCCAGAGATTTATTTTGTTTCCTGATTGGGCCAGTTTTCCCTGTTTTTGTTTTGTTTTTTTTGTTGTTGTTTAATGTGCTTTTTAACTTTGTGCTGAGATCCACACATTTGGAAATACAGCCACCTCTCTCAGTCTTTATGACCTGACTGTACAGGGAAAGACCTTTACCAATCAACCAGGTTGAAGATTCTGGGAGCCTCTCAGACCTTTTCTGTGGATACTTACTCTCTGAACCTGTGCATGTAAATTGTCAATGAGGGGATTTTACTGGATTATTTTTTCAGGAGCTCATAATCTCTTGCTCCCCCTGGTGTCTGCAGTACTGCAGAGTCTCTGGGGTTTCCACAAGCCACCCAGTTTCTCCTTTGTTCTCAGCAGCCTCTATTCTTCTAGACTATGCCATGTCTAATCAGTGCTTTTAGTAGGGCAAGACAGAAGTCAGTCCTCTGGGAAGTTTCCTGTAAAACCAGAACTTTGGATGCACACTCCACTCTTCTCTTCCCCCTTTACCTCCTTGAGGGAGAGGGAACCAAGCTGTATCTCTCTCTCTCTGTCTGCTGTAACACAGGTCATCTGGAGGAGGAGCATGCCACCCAAACTCTCCTGTTTTCAGTGGCCCCAAGGCATTTAAAATATGCCAGATGGTCCCCTCAGTGCTTCAAGACAAGTGACACAGAAACCAGTACCCAAGGCGGTCCATCAAAAAAATGGAATATTGGATACATGTTCCAACTCTTTCACTCCCAAGGGAGAAGCCAGGAGTTGGCAGTTTTCTTTTACTCATTTCATGATAAGCCTGGGAGAGAGACTATTGCAAGTTAATGCAAGCTAACCCAAACCATTGCCTTTATTCTCAGTAGCCC
This sequence comes from Homo sapiens, assembly GCF_000001405.40. Classification (NCBI taxonomy): domain Eukaryota; kingdom Metazoa; phylum Chordata; class Mammalia; order Primates; family Hominidae; genus Homo; species Homo sapiens. Next base: position 122,947,000 of record NC_000006.12, on the reverse strand, counting down.
CAAAACTGATGCCCTTTCCTGTCCGTGCTTAGATTCAGGCAAGATAGAAATCATCCCTCTGGAAGACCACCAAAATGTCTACACTTTAGACTATGTTCTAGTTCTAGTTTTCTCTTTCCTTCCCCAGAAAAAATATCTGGAAGGTGGAACTTTCCTCCCAACTGGACTGTGCTGTCCTGAGGGTGGGGATAGGAGACTATATTGAAAGGGTGATGCACTTTTCCTACCAGCTTCAATGTAGCTTGTGTCATGATCATCTGGTGTGCAGGAGCCTCTTAATTGATTTCTGAATTTCTCACAAAGGGAATTAGTTTATGTATATTGTTGAGTCAGTCTCAATGGGGCGAATGAGGTTTTAGGACATCCTATACTGCCATCTTACTCTAGCAGAACTGAGCTTTATTCATATATCCATCCACCCCTTTCATCCTCTGATTCTCAAGGGAATTGACTCCACCACCGGCTCCAGGGATAGATCTGACTGTTCAAAGGATCATTTCATCCTTTTTGCCAGCAATGAGATTGTGCTTAGGCCAACTTAATTCAAGGAAAGTGTTGCTTTTCCTATAGCATTCTGGAAAAGTCTGCCTTGCTCTTCTGAGAAAGCCTCCAGAAGCAATGATCTCCCCCATGTGAAAAAAGAAGCATGAAGCGATTGGAAGGTATTGTAGGGTCATGAAGAAACTGGTCTTATGATGAAGACAAAACTGTAAATGGCATCATAGAGAGACCAAAAGAAACTGAGTTCTTGATGACATGTTTTGTTTCTTGAAATAATCAAAGCTGAAGCCCACTATTAGCTTTGGATTTCTGGTAATGTGAATCCTTATTGAACAAATTTAAATCACATATTCTGATACTTACTAGCAAAAGTATATGGGATGAACTAGAGAATATCATTAACATCTCTGAAGCTTAGTTCTCTGATCTGTAGGGACTCAGCTATGATTTAATGTGATAATGTTTATAAAGCCTCTATCCACAGTGTCACAGACATTCAGTTCTAAATAGGTATTAGTTTCTTTTCCTTCTTTGAATACAGAGACTCAGCATTTCTTTATGCACACACCCTTAGACTTATCAAGGGGCATACTCCTTCTTTTTCATTTTCTAAGGTAAAAGCAAATAAATTTCACATAGCTCTCAAAAGGAAAGAGTACTATTCCTTTAGCAGAAAAATGTTTTTTTCTCTTTTGTTCCCAATAATAAGATTAGTCCAAATTTCTTTTCTATGTTCACCCCCTTACTCCAGCCCCAATTTTCTATGAAATTTTAAGTGGATATGCTTGAAATAACTGTTGTTTATTATGTTATAACAGTTGGAGTATGGGAACATATGATCGAGAACTGACAGTTTTTGTTGCAAGTCTAAGACCAGAAACAATGTTCTCCCAAACTCCACAAGCTATATTTGATCAGTAGTATTTACATAAAAGCAAAGGGGACTTCTGAGAGTGGAGCCAAGATGGCCGAATAGGAACAGATACAGTATACAGCTCCCAGCCTGGGTGATGCAGAAGACAAATGATTTCTGCATTTCCAACCGAGGTACCAGGTTCATCTCACTGGGGATTGTTGGACTGTGGGTGCAGGACAGTGGGTGCAGCCCACCGAGTGTGAGCCAAAGCAGGGCGAGGCATCGCCTCACCCTGGAAGCACAAGGGGTCAGGGAATTCCCTTTCCTTGCCATGGAAAGGAGTGACAGACAGCACCTGGAAAATCAGGTCACTCCCACCCTAATACTGCGCTTTTCCAACAGTCTTAGCAAACGGCACACCAGGAGATTGTATCCTGCACCTGGCCCGGAGGGTCCTACGCCCATGGAGCCTCACTCATTGCTAGCACAGCAGTCTGAGATCAAACTGCAAGGTGGCAGCGAGGCTTGGGGAGGGGCGCCCCCCATTGCTGAGGCTTGAGTAGGTAAACAAAGCAGCTGGGAAGCTTGAACTGGGTGGAGCCCACCTCAGCTCAAGGAGGCCTGCTGCCTCTGTAAACTCCACCTCTGGGGGCAGAGCATAGCCAAACAAAAGGGAGCAGAAACCTCTGCAGACTTAAATGTCCCTGTCTGACAGCTTTGAAGAGAGTAGTGGTTTTCCCAGCATGCAGCTTGAGATCTGAGAATGGACAGACTGCCTCCTCAAGTGGGTCCCTGACCCCTGAGTAGCCTCACTGGGACGGACCCCCCAGTAGGGGCAGACTGACACCTTACACGGCCGGGTACTCCTCTGAGACAAAACTTCCAGTGGAACGATCAGGCAGCAACATTTGCTGTTCACCAATATCCACTGTTCTGCAGCCTCTGCTGCCGATTGCCAGGCAAACAGGGTCTGGAGTGGGCCTCCAGCAAACTCCAACAGACCTGCAGCTGAGGGACCTGACTGTTAGAAGGAAAACTAACAAACAGAAAGGACATCCACACCAAAACCCCATCTGTACATCATCATCATCAAAGACCAAAGGTAGATAAAACCACAAAGATGGTGAAAAAACAGAGCAGAAAAACTGTAAATTCTAAAAATCAGAGCACCTCTCCTCCTCCAAAGGAACACAGCTCCTCACCAGCAATGGAACAAAGCTGGACAGAGAATGACTTTGACAAGTTGAGAGAAGAAGGCTTCAGATGATCAAACTACTCCGAGCTAAAGGAAGAAGTTCGAAACCACGGCAAAGAAGTTAAAAACCTTGAAAAAAGATTAGATGAATGGCTAACTAGAATAGCCAATGCAGAGAAGTCCTTAAAGGACCTGATGGAGGTGCAAAACACAGCATGAGAACTACGTGATGAATGCACAAGCCTCAGTAGCCGATTTGATCAACTGGAAGAAAGGGTATCAGTGATGGAAGATCAAATGGATGAAATGAAGCAGAAGAGAAGTTTAGATAAAAAAGAATAAAAAGAAATAAACAAACCCTCCAAGAAATATGGGACTATGTGAAAAGACCAAATCTACGTCTGATTGGTGTACCTGAAAGTGATGGGGAGAATGGAACCAAGTTGGAAAACACTCTGCAGGATATTATCCAGGAGAACTTCCCCAACCTAGCAAGGAAGGCCAACATTCAGATTCAGGAAATACAAAGAACACCACAAAGATACTCCTCAAGAAGAGCAACTCCAAGACACATAATTGTCAGATTCACCAAAGTTGAAATGAAGGAAAAAATGTTAAGGGCAGCCAGAGAGAAAGGTTGGGTTACCCACAAAGGGAAGCCCATCAGACTAACAGCGGATCTCTCAGCAGAAACTCTACAAGCCAGAAGAGAGTGGGGGCCAATATTCAACATTCTTAAAGAAAAGAATTTTCAACCCAGAATTTCATATCCAGCCAAACTAAGCTTCATAAGTGAAGGAGAAATAAAATACTTTACAGACAAGCAAATGCTGGGAGATTTTGTCACCACCAGGCCTGCCCTAAAAGAGCTCCTGAAGGAAGCACTAAACATGGAAAGGAACAACCAGTACCAGCCACTGCAAAAACATGCCAAATTGTAAAGACCATCGAGGCTAGGAAGAAACTGCATCAACTAACGAGCAAAATAACCAGCTAACATCATAATGACAGGATCAAATTCACACATAACAATATTAACCTTAAATGTAAGTGAGCTAAGTGCCCCAATTAAAAGACACAGACTGGCAAATTGGATAAAGAGTCAAGACCCATCAGTGTGCTGTATTCAGGAAACCCATCTCACGTGCAGAGACACAATTAGGCTCAAAATAAAGGGATGGAGGAAGATCTACCAAGCAAATAGAAAACAAAAAAAGGCAGGGGTTGCAATCCTAGTCTCTGCTAAAACAGACTTTAAACCAACAAAGATCAAAAGAGACAAACAAGGCCATTACATAATGGTAAAGGGATCAATTCAACAAGAAGAACTAACTATCCTAAATATATATGCACCCAATACAGGAGCACCCAGATTCATAAAGCAAGTCCTTAGTGACTTACAAAGAGACTTAGACTCCCACACAATAATAATGGGAGACTTTAACACCCCACTGTCAACATTAGACAGATCAACGAGACAGAAAATTAACAAGGATACCCAGGAATTGAACTCAGCTCTGCACCAAGCAGACCTAATTGACATCTACAGAACTCTCCACCCCAAGTCAACAGAATATACACTCTTTTCAGCACCACACCACACCTACTCCAAAATTGACCACATAGTTGGAAGTAAAGCACTCCTCAGCAAATGTAAAAGAACAGAAATTACAACAAACTGTCTCTCAGACCACAGTGCAATCAAACTAGAACTCAGTATTAAGAAACTCACTCAAAACCACTCAATTACATGGAAACTGAACAACCTGATCCTGAATGACCATTGGGTACATAACGAAATGAAGGCAGACATAAAGATGTTCTTTGAAACCAATGAGAACAAAGACGCAACATACCAGAATCTCTGGGACACATTCAAAGCAGTGTGTAGAGGGAAATTTATAGCACTAAATGCCCACAAGAGAAAGTAGGAAAGATCTAAAATTGACACCCTAACATCACAATTAAAAGAACTAGAGAAGCAAGGGCAAACACATTCAAAAGCTAGCAGAAGGCAAGAAATAACTAAGATCAGAGCAGAACTGAAGGAAATAGAGACACAAAACCCTTCAAAAAAATCAATGAATGCAGGAGCTGGTTTTTTGAAAAGATCAACAAAATTGATAGACCGCTAGCAAGACTAATAAAGAAGAAAAGAGGGAAGAATCAAATAGACGCAATAAAAAATGATAAAGGGGATATCACCACCGATCCCACAGAAATACAAACTACCATCAGAGAATACTATAAACACCTCTATGCAAATAAACTAGAAAATCTAGAAGAAATGGATAAATTCCTCAACACATACACCCTCCCAACACTAAACCAGGAAGAAGTTGAATCCCTGAATAGGCCAATAACAGGCTCTGAAATTGAGGCAATAATTAATAGCCTACCAATCAAAACAGTCCCGGAACAGACGGATTCACAGCCGAATTCTATCAGAGGTACAAGGAGGAGCTGGTACCATTCCTTCTGAAACTATTCCAATCAATAGAAAAAGAGGGAATCCTCCCTAACTCATTTTATGAGACTAGCATCATCCTGATACCAAAGCCTGGCAGAGACACAACAAAAAAAAGAGAATTTTAGACCAATATCCCTGATGAACATCGATGCAAAAATCCTCAATAAAATACTGGCAAACCGAATCCAGCAGCACATCAAAAAGCTCATCCACCATGATCAAGTGGGCTTCATCCCTGGGATGCAAGGCTGGTTCAACATACCAAATCCATAAACATAATCCGTATATAAACATAATCCATATATAAACATAATCCGTATATAAACATAATCAGTATATAAACAGAACCAATGACAAAAACCACATGATTACCTCAATAGATGCAGAAAAGGCCTTTGACAAAATTCAACAACCTTCATGCTAAAAACTCTCAATAAATTATGTATTGATGGGATGTATCTCAAAATAATAAGAGCTATCTATTACAAACCCACAGCCAATATCATACTGAATAGGCAAAAACTGGAAGCATTCCCTTTGAAAACTGGCACAAGACACGGATGCCCTCTCTTACCACTCCTATTCAACCTAGTGTTGGAAGTTCTGGCCACGGCAATCATGCAGAAGAAGGAAATAAACGGTATTCAATTAGGAAATGAGGAAGTCAAATTGTCCCTGTTTGCAGATGACATGATTGTATATCTAGAAAACCCCATCATCTCAGCCCAAAATCTCCTTAAGCTGATAAGCTTCAGCAAAGTCTCAGGATACAAAATCAAAGTGCAAAAATCACAAGCATTTCTATACGCAAATAACAGACAAACAGAGAGCCAAATCATGAGTGAACTCCCATTCACAATTGCTTCAAAGAGAATAGAATACCTAGGAATCCAACTTATAAGGGATGTGAAGGACCTCTTCAAGGAGAACTACAAACCACTGCTCAAGGAAATTAAAGAGGATACAAACAAATGGAAGAACATTCCATGCTCATGGGTAGGAAGACTCAATATTGTGAAAATGGCCATACTGCTCAAGATAATTTATAGATTCAATGCCATCCCCATCAATCTACCAATGACTTTCTTCACAGAATTGGAAAAAATTACTTTAAAGTTCATATGGAACCAAAAAAGAGCCCGCATTGCCAAGTCAATCCTAAGCCAAAAGAACAAAGCTGGAGGCATCACGCTACCTGACTTCAAACTATACTACAAGGCTACAGTAACCAAAACAGAATGGTACTGGTACCAAAACAGATATACAGACCAATGGAACAGAACAGAGCCCTCAGAAATAATGCCACATATCTACAACCATCTGATCTTTGACAAATCTGACAAAAACAAGAAATGGGGAAGGGATTCCTTATTTAATAAATGGTGCTGGGAAAACTGGCTAGCCATATGTAGAAAGCTGAAACAGGATCCCTTCCTTACACCTTATACAAAAATTAATTCAAGATGGATTAAAGACTTAAATGTTAGACCTAAAACCATAAAAACCCTAGAAGAAAACCTAGGCCACACCATTCAGGACATAGGCATGGGCAAGGACTTCATGTCTAAAACACCAAAAGCAATGGCAACAAAAGACAAAATTGACAAATGGGATCTAATTAAACTAAAGAGCTTCTGCACAGCAAAAGAAACTACCATCAGAGTGAACAGGCAGCTTATAGAATGGGAGAAAATTTTTGCAATCTACTCATTGGACAAAGGGCTAATATCCAGAATCCACAATGAACTCAAACAAATTTACAAGAAAAAAACAAACAACCCCATCAAAAAGTGGGCGAAGGATATGAACAGACACTTCTCAAAAGAAGACATTTATGCAGCCAAAAGACACATGAAAAAATGCTCATCATCACTGACCATCAGAGAAATGCAAATCAAAACCACAATGAGATACCATCTCATACCAGTTAGAATGGCGATCATTAAAAAGTCAGGAAACAACAGGTGCTGGAGAGGATGTGGAGAAATAGGAACACTTTTACACTGTTGGTAGGACTGTAAACTAGTTCAGCCATTGTGGAAGTCAGTGTGGCGATTCCTCAGGGATCCAGAACTAGAAATACCATTTGACCCAGCCATCCCATTACTGGGTATATACCCAAAGGATTATAAATCATGCTGCTATAAAGACACATGCACATGTATATTTATTGCAGCACTATTCACAATAGCAAAGACTTGGAACCAACCCAAATGTCCAACAATGATAGACTGGATTAAGAAAATGTGGCACATATACACCATGGAATACTATGCAGCCATAAAAAATGATGAGTTCATGTCCTTTGTAGGCACATGGATGAAGCTGGAAACCATCATTCTCAGCAAACTATTGCAAGGACAAAACACCAAACACTGCATGTTCTCACTCATAGGTGGGAATTGAACGATGAGAACACATGGACACAGGAAGGGGAACATCACACACTGGGGCTTGTTGTGGGGTGGGGGGAGGGGGAGGGATAGCATTAGGAGACATACCTAATGTTAAATGACGAGTTAATGGGTGCAGCACACCAACATGGCACATGTATACATATGTAACAAACTGGCATGTTGTGCACATGTACCCTAAAACTTAAAGTATATAAAAAAAAAAAAAGCAAAGGGAAAAATGTGCTACCATGGTAGATACTGGACCAGACCATTGGGTCTAAGTCAGCCAAAAATACATGTATGCATATGCAAAAGTAGTGGCAGACTTGAGGTCTGCAGATCATCATTTGTAGTTCAAAAAAGCAATTGGTTTAGCAACTTTCACCCTGCAAATTGTGATTTAAACTTTCATCTTTTTTCTTAAGAGACCTTGGAGTATGAATCAGATGAACACTGTGCCATGTAATAAGCTAGAGCAGATTTAATCTGATAAAACAAAAATTGAGTATTTCATGTCCACCTGTGAAAGATTTGTGCATTTATGAACTATATCATTTATGTGATTTGTGAAGTCATTGGATAAATGACACCAATACAAATAGGGTTCATTGTGTAACATACAGCAGATTTCTAATTTTGTGTGTTGTCAGGCAGTGTTTATGGTACTTTAAAATTTCCACACAGCTGGTGACAAATTATAATTGAAGAGACAGCTAGCTCTAATATAACTCTACTATAGATTTTTGCTCTTCAGAACACATTATCAAAGCCATTTTTACCAACTTAACACACATCACTGCCCTTCACATGTGGATTTAGCTGCCTTCAATTTATTTTTACTTCCCCTGCCTATATTTTCTTTCTACTTGCTCAAGTATCTGTGTTTTTCCTAACCACTGGGCTAAATCAGCACCATGGAGCAAATTTTAAAGTATTGAACATAAGAGTTACACTATTTTAAGTGGCATCAATGAAAGCAGTTTGGGACTACATAGTTTCAAGCAATATTGGTTATATTGCTTTTTAATCCATCAATGTCCATAGCTTTTACAGTGTACCAAAAACCCTGTGGGAAAAAAAGCATACAAATCTAAAGCAAAAAGTTCTGATTCAATAATACATTGAGCTGACTGCTCCCTATATGTAACTGTTTGCTGCTAATAAGACACTGTAAGAAGTTCATTAACTGTTTGAGACTGTCTAATTGCAATCCACAAAAGACTGTATGCTTATCTTGCATGTGAATAGCTGTTCCTGCAATAAGTTATTAATTTATATTTGTTTTACGTATTTTACTCTTTATCAAACTTATCTTCTAGATATTTTATATAAGCATCCAGTTCAGGAGCAAAAGGCTATAATAGATGGATTAACAATTAACATAACTTAAATAATTTCTATCAACTAGAATATTTATTGAATACTTTAGCACAAGGCTAACTTGGAAAAAGAATAAAAATTAAAAGGCACAGTTTTTTTCTAGGGTTTAATTGAGAAAAAAAATAAAAGTTGTGAGTCAGGCACAGTGGCTTGCACCTGTAGTCCCAGCTACCAGGGAGGCTAAGGTTGGAGGATCGTGTCAGCCTAGGAGTTAAGGCTGCAATGAGGAATGATCATGCCACTGCACTCCAGCCTGGGTGACAGAGAGAGACCCTGTTTCTAAAAATAATAATAATAAAAGTTATGGACATGCACACACATACATGTATTATATAGTGCTATAATATATAGTTATATATCATACATAGTTATACAAATATATATTATTTTTATATTATATAACACTTTTAAATACATGTAATACATCTTATGTTTACATATATATTGATATGTATACATATGTATTACATATATATGTTTAATGTACATAAAACAAATATACAATGAATATTATATAATATACATTATGTTGTATATAATGATATCACTATGTATATGACAAAGTATCAAAATTGAATTATTTTATTCATTCAGTCAACAAACATTCTGGGTGTAGAACAAAGCTTGGCACACTTTCTGTAAAGAGTCAAACAGTACATACTTTAGGCTTTGCCGGCCATATAGCCTCTATTGGAACCATTCTACTGTCCAGATGTACAATATAAATGAAGGGTGTGGCTGTGATCCAATAAAACAGAAATTCTTTCTGCGACTGTAAGGGTCTGTGTGACCCAGCCTTTTGTTTGCCTTTATCATTGAATCTTTGCTGTCCGCAGGCACAGGGACTTCTTGTTGGCAACCACCACAACAGGGCTTAGTACTTGTTTCCACCTGCAATCCTCCCTCCGCCAGATATCTGCATGACTTGTTTCTTTCATATATCACCTTCTGAGTGAGTTCTTTCTGACCATGTTATCTAATACTATAACATGTCACACCAAAACCTCCCAACAGTCTTGTCCAATACTTTATAAAACATGGCCCTGATTTAGCCAGGGGTGAGGAAAAACACGAACACTGGATCAAGAATGTCTGGGTTGAATTCTAGTTCTTTTCATTTGCTGGCTATATGACTTTAGGCCAATTATTTTATCTCTCTGTGGCTTATTTTTTCTTTATAATGTGGACATACCAATAATATATATCTCATAGGACTGTTCTGAGGTAATTAGTTAATATATATAAATATATAAAAAATATATATACATAAAATGCTTAGCGCAGTGTCTGGCGCTTATTCTCATAGGATGGTTAGCTACTATTACTACCCTTTGCTAGAATATAAACTCCATGAAGAGATATGCATCTTCTCTGGTCACCATTGACTTCTTAGTATCTAGAGCAGTGACTGTTACAGAGTAAGTGCCAAATTATTATTGAACTGAATGAAATTTCTAAAACGATAGAGAAATCTAAAAAAAAATCCAACACAAGGCAGAGAAACAAGGCAGAGAAGTAGACAAGTAACAAAAGAAAAAAATATATGAGAAACAGAAAATAGGTTGCAGAAATAATTCCAATCATTAAACATTAATTACAGTCATTAGCTTCAATATATGAAAATGAATTAAATCTATTTTAAAATAAACAGATTTCATGGTTCAATTTAAAAAAAAAAAACCCAGCAGTATCATGCTGACAAGAGACATGCTTAGAAAACTCACACACATGCATACATAAATCACAGAGATTGAACATAAAATTAAGGGAGAGACTATGTCTTGCAAAAACTAGCCAAGAACTTTAGAGACCAAGAAGAGGGGCAAGAGAGAAGGAGGTGAGGGATGAAAAGCAACATACTGAATACAATCTACACTACTTGGATGACAGGTGCACTAAAATCTCAGACTTCACCACTATAAAATTCATCCATGTGACCAAAAACCACCTGTACCCACAAAGCTATTGAAATTATATACATAAACCAACCAAGAGAAAGTTCAGGTAGAATGTTAATTGTAGATAAGATACAAGTTAAGGCAAAATTCATTAAAAGAGATAAATACATAAAAGTATAATTCCACTAAAAAGATATAACAATGATGATCTTGTATGTACCTAAGAGACATATGCAAAAATTTTTATTGTAGCACTATTTATAATAGCAAAAATATGGTTTGTTTATTTAAAAACCATGAGATAAGAAACAAATTCAAATTTTAAAAATATAACTTTATATGCCACATTTGTAAAATATGTAGATAGACTTATATTTGCAAAGAAAAAGAAACTACATAGAATTCATCAGACATTGAACATTTGCTATTTCTAAATGGTAGAATACCAGGTGATTTTAGTTCTTATGTTCCTTTTTTTAAATTTATCTTTCCTAACTTTACATACTGGACATCACATATAAGTTTTTAAGTAAGAAAATAAATAATTTTTAATTAAAAGGTTTACCAGCAAACCATGGAAATTTATTCTCATCTATCATATATATATATATATCATGATGTGTATATATGCCTCATATATATATGTATATATATATATATATATATATGCATCGTGACATCAATATTAACTTTTGTTTAGTGGGAGCACTGCTTATTAGAGTGCTTATAAAACTACTATTGTCAATTGAATTTTGGACACATTCAAATGTTTCTATTTCTTGATGTCTCTAACCTTAGTTAGGTACAGCAATTTTAGCCATAAACAAATAGTAGAAATTCTTCACATATTTGTTGAGAACATAAATATTCATTAGTATGTCTTATTTAACCCTTCAGGGTAACTTCAGTCTATATCACTACTCACCAATTCCAAGTTCTCAGCTTCTACACTCCAACTTTGCAGTGATGCAGGCATGTTATTTATGCTTTCATACATATATTCTATATATTTGAAATAATATGAAAACCCCCTGCTGTCATTATCACTCAAAACATTTCACACAATGCCACAGGAGTAATGGTTTGAAAAGGAATAAAACAAATATTTTTATATTAAATTTATATTATATAAATTATTATTTAAATTATTTTATAAATAAATAAAGGATTTCTGTTGTTACATTTTAAAGATCTAAACAGAAATTTCTGCCTGATTTTTTAAATCTTTTTTTTTTGTTATACATTAAGTTTTAGGGTACATGTGCACATTGTGCAGGTTAGTTACATATGTATACATGTGCCATGCTGGTGCACTGCACCCACTAACTCGTCATCTAGCATTAGGTATATCTCCCAATGCTATCCCTCCCCCTCCCCCCACCCCACAACAGTCCCCAGAGTGTGATATTCCCCTTCCTGTGTCCATGTGATCTCATTCTTCAATTCCCACCTATGAGTGAGAATATGTGGTGTTTGGTTTTTTGTTCTTGCGATAATTTACTGAGAATGATGATTTCCAATTTCCATCCATGTCCCTACAAAGGACATGAACTCATCATTTTTTATGACTGCATAGTATTCCATGGTGTATATGTGCCACATTTTCTTAATCCAATCTATCATTGTTGGACATTTGGGTTGGTTCCAAGTCTTTGCTACTGTGAATAATGCCGCAATAAACATACGTGTGCATGTGTCTTTATAGCAGCATGATTTATAATCCTTTGGGTATATACCCAGTAATGGGATGGCTGGGTCAAATGGTATTTCCAGTTCTAGATCCCTGAGGAATTGCCACACTGACTTCCACAATGGTTGAACTAATTTACAGAAATGGCAACAAAAGACAAAATTGACAAATCAGATCTAATTAAACTAAAGAGCTTCTGCACAGCAAAAGAAACTACCATCAGAGTGAACAGGCAACCTACAAAATGGGAGAAAATTTTCGCAACCTACTCATCTGACAAAGGGCTAATGTCCAGAATCTACAATGAACTCAAACAAATTTACAAGAAAAAAACAAACAACCCCATCAAAAAGTGGGCGAAGGACATGAACAGACACTTCTCAAAAGAAGACATTTATGCAGCCAAAAAACACATGAAAAAATGCTCATCATCACTGGCCATCAGAGAAATGCAAATCAAAACCACAATGAGATACCATCTCACACCAGTTAGAATGGCAATCATTAAAAAGTCAGGAAACAACAGGTGCTGGAGAGGATGTGGAGAAATAGGAACACTTTTACACTGTTGGTGGGACTGTAAATCTTTTTTTTAAATGCCATTGTTATTGTCGCACTAAAGGGAGATATTCTACACTCGTGAGTGGTACTTTCTTAGTAACTTCAGGTGTTTGCATAGGTTCTCTAGCTCTGTCTCACATTCTGTCTCTTAGATTCTGTCTTCCTGTCTCTGTGGTGTGTGTGTGTATCTCCTTCTCTTTCCCACCCTTGTTCTCAGACCTTGGGCTAGTCTTGCACTAAAGGAAAGAGAGAAGCACTAAATTGCAAGTAAAATTAGAATTTTGAATTAGACTAGATTTTAGGTTTCAATATCTGCAAATAACTGAAAAGCAATGTAATCTTCTCAAAATGCTGAGACAGGGTAGGAAAGATTGATTCTACAATATTTAATTAATTGGTGGTGTTAAGATTGAAAAACCCTGTTTCTTGGTGGTACCCTGCTGAGTTCAATCCATGTAAGAAATCAGTTTAAATTTATTCCTGAACTCTGAATTATTCATCAACAGCCCTGTCCAGGTCTTGTTCACTGTGCCTTATGAGGTCTTTGTTTCATGAGGGCTTTCAGGTTGACACGAGGCCTAAAGATCTCTCCTGCAGTCTTAAGGAATCTAACCTGTATTCTCTGTGGTCAACTGCTTTACAAACTCACAGCGGACAAGAGCCATCTGTAAGTTTATACAAAACAGGGTAGCCTAAATCCAGCCATGGAAAGGACCATTTGTCTATGGGTAAAAGACTCTAAGAGATGAACTCTGTATCATGGGTAACTTTTCTTATTGTGAGGAGCGGTTTAGTGCCTACTAGCCATTAAAACCTCAATCTTTTCTAAACGAAGAGAGTCTTTGCTGTATATTTGTGTCACTGGGGTAATTTTTCCAATAGAAAAGAATAGATGAAGTCATCTGCCCAAAGGTGAAGTCATCTCAAATTACAGGTGTTTGTTCATTTCTGCCTTCATAATCAGAGGCAAGTAAGTTACATTTCCATTTTGCACGTATGTCTGTTATTTTTCATATCTTCCTTGTCTCAGAACTTCTCCACTACCACTTCCACTGAAACAAGGGAAGGAGCACTTTCTTTGTATGACTTTTAAGAAGGGCATAACATAGAGAAAGATAGTGGGTTTTTAATGCAAGCATATTATTCTTTACTCATTAATGAATTTCACAGTATTTATCAAGTCTTACCCAGTTCCAGACCTATGACCTGGGATACAGTTGTAAGCATGATACTATTGCTTCTCTTTACTGAGCTGTAGTACAAGAGAGACCCAGATAAGTTGAGAGGAGATTACAGAGCACTCTCACAGGCTTGGTACCCAGGGCTGTCTACCACTTGCTAGTTAACTGACTTTAATTAGGTGACTTTCCATTTCTCAACCTCAGTTTCCTTTGCCTGCCCAAGTCATGCCACCTTTACCTGTCCTGGCATCACTGTTTCACCCCTGGACTTCCCAAGTCTGTTCAATCTCCACCCACAACTTTTCCTGTTATAATGCCAGGTGTTTTTTCACAACAGAGGAATAGGGGGTGTGCCGAGAACAGTGAAAAGTATTACAGACTTTGAGGACGGAGAGTCTCAGGGGTGAATGTCAAATCTAAGAAGGAAACAAATCAGCTGACAAGATTGACTCAGGCATAGAGTTCTAGAAATAACCAGCATTTTAGAATAGTTAAGAACAATGGTTAGTAACAATGCTCAGAGCAAAAGGCCTGGGTTACTATAAGCCAAGTAAAGAGGTTATAATAATAGTTTCTGGAAGTATACTGAGACAGATCTCCTGAGGGAAAGTCAATCTAATGTTTTTATACAGAGAAAAAAATGTGCTGAAGAATAAAAATATAATGCCAAGCTATACAAATTGCATATTAGCTTATTCTACCTCCTGTGAGTCATGTAGGAAACCCTAAGAATTATGTAACCTCAAAAAAGATGACTTTTGAAATACATAAGTTAGAAACCTCAGCCCTCTCACCACAACACACACACACATACACACAATTTAGCATGATTAATGAGATTAAATATATTTACAAAGGAAAATTAGTTTTTATGGGACAGACACATTATTTTTCCAGAATAAAAGTTAGTTCTACATTCCAGAAAATCATTTTAGTATTATTTTCAACAAACTTTATCTGTAATGAATGAAAATAATTTATCATTTCACACATGTCAAGAAAGGAAGGGGGTTCACTTTTCCTCAAACTTTGCACTTTGAATAAATATTACAAAATTGATTAACATGTAAGTGTTAAGTGCTCTTTATAAACCTCTTGACTTTGATCGAAGAATACAAATTGAACAGAGTTCTAAGTGTATATGGTGTGTTACAGGAGCCCCCCAGGGAAGGCTAGCATTAAGGAGCACTCAGCACTTACTAGGTTACCAGTTGTGCTTATTGAGATTAGATACTTCGGTACATAATCATACATATAATGTAGGTTTCATTAATAGTAATGGCCCAAAGCATTTACCCACACCTGATCATGGAGCATTTCAGCTCCCTTACAAAATGTTCCCAAGCCCCACCTATCCAAGTTTCCTGAGTGTCTCACATGTTCCCACTAGCATCACCTTTCTCCCACACAGTATGCATGGAAAACCACCGTATTTCTCAAGGGTTAGCTGTCTCCACCAAAGGAGGAATCTGCATCTTTAAAATGCCAAATTTCCATAGTAATCTGATGTTAAATAGGGAAAAATTCATCCTTCCTTTAGGTTTTCTTACTAAGTCAGTTTTTTTCTCATGCATTATTCCTTTAGCTCTCAGGATGAATTACCACACATGAAAATGGACTTCCATAAGATTGGACTTCCCTCCCAATTCTTCAGAAATGCCCATATATGCTTATTTCTAGATGTGAATACAGTTTAGGCTGAAACTGGAATTTCTACTATATTATTCAAAATCAATACTGCACTAAGTTACTTAAACTATATTTTTTTTAAAAGAAAGGAATGATAGAAGGGGGCAAGATGACATATTAGAAGCAGCTGCAGTCCACAGTTATCACGGAGAGAAATGAAAGTGGTGAGTGAATTCAGTACCTTCAACTGAAATATTCAGGTTCTCACATTGGGACTGACTAGGCAAACAGCTAGACCCACAGAGAACAAAGAAAAGCAGGTGGGGCAAAGACCTGCCAGAAAGTGACAATGGAGCCAAAGGAACCCCTACCCCCAGCCAAGAGAAGTGGTGAATGATTGTGTGACCCTACCTGGGAAGCCACACTTCTCCCAGGGATCTTTGCAACCCATGAATCAGGAGATCCTCTTGTGAGCCCACACCACCAGGGCCTTGGGTCTGATACACAGAGCTGTGCAGAGTCTCAGCAGAGCAGTCACTCATGTTCACATAGAGATAACCCAGGAGTTTTAGACTCCCACCTTGGGAATCCTGACAAATCAGGAGATCCTTCTGTATATTCCCCTAGGAAGGGGGCTGAATGCAGGGATCCAAGCAGCATTGTTCTGTGGGCCCCACTTCCATGGCACCTCACAAGTTAAGACCCACTGGCTTGAAATTCCAGCCAACTAGTGCAAGAGGTTGGAGACTGCCTGAGATAGACAAGTTTCTGTGGGTAGGGGTGGCCACTATTTCTGTGGTTAGGTCAACTCGGCTATTTTAGCCTGCTGGCTCTGGGGAGTCTAGGCGGTCTGAATAAGGAGGAGTCCCCAACAAGAGCTGCTGTGCCAGATCATGGCCAGACTGCTTCTTTAAGTGGGACCCCAATGCATCCCTCCTCACTGGACAGGTACCCCCTGTGGGAATTTCAGCAACTCCAGCCAGGGTTATATGACAGAACTCTGATCTCTCCCTGGGATGGAGCCCCAGGGGTTGCGGGGGGTTGGGGGGTGAAGGAGAGGGGCCAATGTCTCTGTGGTTCAGTCAACTCTGGCTTTCCAGCCTGCTGGCTCTGGAGAGTCCAGGTGTTCTGGACAAGGAAGGGTTCCCCTCAATGCAGCACACCTGCTCTACCAAAAAGCAACCAGACTGCTTCTTTAAGCAGGTTTCTGATCCTGTCTCTCCTGACTGGGTGAGACCTCCCAATAGGGGTCTCCAGACACCTCCTATAGGAGTGTCCAGGCCTGCAACAGGTCAGTATACCCCTGGGATGGAGCTCCCAGAGGAAGGAGCAGGCTGCCATCTTTGCTGTTTTGTGGCCTTCATTGGTGATACTCCAGGTAAGGGAAAAACCCAGGCAACTAGGGTCTGAAGCAATCCCCCAGGAAACCAAGCAGCTCTATGGAAGAATGGCCTGACAATTAAAAGGAAAACAAACAAACAGAAAGCAACAACAACATCAACAAAAACGACACCTCAAGTCCAGTTCAAAGGTTAGCAACCTCAAAGATCAAAGGTAGATAAGCCCACAAATATTAGAAAGAATCAACACACAAAATCACTGAAAAGTCAAACAGCCAGAGGGCCTCTTCTTCTCCAAATGACCACAACATCTATCCAGCAAGGACACAGAAATGGACTGATGCTAAGATGGCTGCACTGACAGAAGTAGGCTTCAGAAGGTGAGTAATAACAAACTTTACTGAGGTAAAGGAGTATGTTGTAACCCAATGCAAACAAGCTAAGAGCTGATAATCAGAATAGTCAGTTTAGAGAGCAGCATAACTGATTTTATGGAGCTGGAAAACATAGCATGAGAACTTCACAATGCAATTACAAGTATCAACACCAGAATAAAACAAGCAGAGAAAACAATCTCAGAATGTGAAGATTATCTTTCTGAAATGAGAGAGGCAGACAAAATGACAAAAATGAATAAAAAGGAACAAACAAACCTCCAAGAAACATGAGATTATGTAAAAAAGACCAAAGTTACAAATGATTGGGGTACCTGAAAGAGATGGGGAGAACAAAAGCGAGTCAGAAAACATTCTTCTATCATCCAGAAGAACTTCCCCAACATAGCAAGACAGGCCACCATTCAAATTCGGGAAATCCAGAGAACCCCAGTAAGATACTCTACAAGAAGATCAAATGCAAGACACATAACTACGAGATTCTTCAAGGTCGAAATAAAGGAAAAAAATGTTAAGGGCAGCCAGAGAGAAAGGCCAGATCACCTACAAAGGGAAGCCCATCAGACTAACAGTGGACCCCTACAAGCCAGAAAAGATTGGGGGCCAATATTCAACATTCTCAAATAAAAGAATTTTCAACCCAGAATTTCATATCTGACCAAACTAAGTTTCATAAGTGAAGGAGAAATAAGATCCTTTTCAAACAAGCAAATGCTGAAGGAATTCATCACCAGCATGGCTGCCTTGCAAGAGCTCCTGAAGGAAGCACTAAATATGGAATGGAAAAATCATCACCAGCCACTACAAAACCACACTGAAGGACACAGACCAGTGACCACATGAAGCAACCACATAAACAAGTCTGCAAAATAGCCAACTAGCATTATAATGACAGTATCAACTTCACACAGAAAAATATTAACCTTAAATGTAAAGGGGCTAAATGTCCCAATTAAAAGACATAATTTGGCAAGCTGTATAGAGTCAAGACTCATTGGTATGCTGTGTTCAAAAGACCCATCTCACATGCAAAGACACACATAGGCTCAAAATAAAGCAGTGGAGGAAAGTTTACCAAGCAAATGGAAAACAGAAAAAAGCAGGGGTTGCAATTCTAGTTTGTGAAAAAAAAACAGACTTTAGACCAACAAAGATCAAAAAAGACAAAGGGCATTACATAATGGAAAAGGGTTCAATTCAACAAGAAGAGCTAACTATCCTAAATATATATGCACCCAATACAGGGGAACGCAAATTCATAAAGCAAGTTCTCAGAGACCTACAAAGAGATTTAGACTCCCACACAATAATAGTGGGAGACTTTAACACCCCACTGACAATATTAGACAGATCATCAAAACAGAAAATTAACAAAGATATTCAAAACCTGAAATCAGCTCTGGATCAAGTGGACCTAACAGATATCTACAGAACTCTCCATCCAAAAACAACAGAATATACATTCTTCTCATTGCCACATAACACTTACTCTAAAATTGATCACATAATTGGAAGTAAAACACTCCTCAGCAAATGCAAAGGAACTGAAATCATAAGTCCCTCAGATCACAGGGCACTCAAATTAGTACTCAAGATTAAGAAACTCCCTCAAAATCACACAACTACATGGTAATTGAACAATCTTCTCCTGAATGACTCCTGGGGAAATAATTAAATTAAGGCAGAAATCAAGAAGTTCTTTGAAACTAATGAGAATAAAAAGACAATGTACCAGAATCTCTGGGATGCAGCTAAAAAAGTGTTAGAGGGAAATTTATAGCACTAAATTTCCACATCAAAAAGCTAGAAAGATCTCAAATTGACAACCTAACATCACAACTAAAATAAGTAAAGAATAAAGAACAAACAAACCCCAAAGCTAGCAGAAGACAAGAAATAACCAAGATCAGAGCAAAACTGAAGTAGATAAAGGCACTGAAAACCCTTCAAAAAATCAAAGAATCCAGTAGCTGGTTTTTGAAAAAAATTCATGAAATAGATAGACTTCTAGCTAGACTACTAAAGAAGAGAGAGAAAATAATCAAATAGACACAATTAGAAATGATAATGGGGATATGAACACTGACCCCACAGAAATACAAACAACTATCAGAGAATGCTATAAACACCTCTATGTATATAAACTAGAAAATCCAGAAGAAATTGATAAATTCCTGGACACATACACCCTCCCAAGTCTGAACCAGGAAGAAATGGAATCCCTGAAAAGACCAATAACCAGTTCTGAAATTGAGGCAGTAATAAATAGCCTACGACCAGATAAATTTACAGCAGAATTCTACCAGAGGTACAAAGAAGAGCTGATACCATTTCTACTGAAACCATTCCAAAAAATTAAAAAGGAGGGACTCCTCCCTAACTCATTTTATGAGGCCAGCATCATTCTGACACCAAAACGTGGCAGAGATACAACAACAACAATAACAACAACAACAACAACAAAAAAAAACTTCAGGTTAATATCCCTGACGAACATCGATGCAAAAATCCTCAATAAAATACTGGCAAATTGAATTCAGCAGCACACCAAAAAGCTTATCCACCATGATCGCGTTGGCTTTATCCTCATGATGCAAGGTTGGTTCAACATTCACAAATCAATAAATGTAATTCATCACACAAGCAAAACTAAAGACAAAAACCACACAATTATCTCACTAGATGCAGAAAAGCTCTTCATGTTAAAAACTCTCAATAAACTAGGTATTGAAGGAACATAGCTCAAAATAATAAGAGCCATGGATGACAAACTCACAGCCAAAGAGAAATCTCATTACTAGGTATATACCCAAAGGAATATAAATCATTCCATTATAAAGATACAGTCACGTATATGTTCATTGCAGCACTATTCACAATAACAAAGATATGGAATCAACCTAATGCCTATCAGTGATAGACTAGATAAAAAAAATGTGGTACATATTCACCATGGAATACTATGCAGCCAAAAAAAGGAACAAGATCATGTTCTTTTTTAGGTACATAGATGGAGCCGGTAGCCATCCAAACACCACATGTTCTCACTTATAAGTGGGAGCTGAATGATGAGAATCTATGGACACATAGTGGGGAGCAACACACCCTGGAGAGCCAGCTGGAGGGGGTTTGGGATGAGAGAGAGCATCAGGAAGAATAGCTAATGGAAGCTGGGCCTAAAACTTAGGTGATGGGTTGATCTGTGCAGCAAACCACCATGTCCTGCGTTTACCTACATAGCAAACCTGCACATCCTGCACATGTACCCCAAAACTTAAAAGTTGAAGGAAAAAAAAGTAAACACGTAAATTTTTTAAAAAAGGAAAGGAGTTACCTGAAAATAGTTCAATGAGCCCAATATGGCTAAAATTATAATTGGAGATAATTAAGCATGTGAATATATATACATATGTAGAATTATAAATATCTCATACCACTAGATGGTATACCATATGCAATTATGATTGTTAGACACATCTTCCTGGGAATTATGTCAATAACATTCTTTCAAAAAACATCAATAACACCAATGTTCTTTCAATAATACCAACAACAAATACTTTCCATTTCCCTGTTCTTGTAAATAGCAACCAACGGATCTCTTCATTTTAAATCCTCACATTCTATGTTTGTATGGCAGACATTAAAAGGTCATTATAGGCAATGGAACATCCTAGGTTACACAGAGATGAATAGAGGCATGAGATTAGCATATTAACTACAAGTGGGTTGTATATGGAAATGCATAGAGTACATGATTAAAAGTAATTCTAGTATGAAAACCTAGATCTATCTTTTCAAAGTACATGCCGAAGGCTGGGCACAGTGGCTCATGCCTGTAATCCCAGAACTTTGGGAGGCTGAGGCAGGTGGATCATCCAAAGTCAGGAGTTTGAGACCAGCCTGCCAACGTGGTGAAACCCTGTCTTTACTAAAAAATACAAAAATTATCCGGGAGTGGTGGTGCATGCCTGTAATCCCAGTTACTTGGGAGGCTGAGGCAGGAGAATCGCTTAAATCTGGGAAGCAGAGGTTGCAGTTCACCAAGGTCACACCATTGCACTCCAGCCTGGGCAAAGTCTCAAAAAAAAAAATGTGCATGCGTAGTGGCAGTGGCATCTGTATGGTAATAGAAAAGCTTGAATCTTTATTTAATATGCAGCCTTTGGCACTTGGTTTTACTGTTTACCATTGATTTTTACATTTTAAACAAATCTTACTTTTTCTGTCTTCCTATTTTTATTGTTATTTATACTCACCAAATCACATATTTATGTCAGAATGTGCATAATTGGGTATGTTTATTTATACAGGGATGTAACAGTGTAACATCTGTGCTAGAAAAGACTAGTTTACAAGTATGAGAAATAAAGAGGAGGAAATTATGTATTTAAAAATCTACTATTTGATAAGACTAAAGGTACCATCAAAAAATTATCTTATTTAATTGCCATAGTTTATTAAGATGACTAATATGTCCTCCTCTTGCTAATGAGAAAACTGAAATTCAGAGAGGTAAGTAACTTGCTAAAATGTATACATGCATTAATGATAAAAATCAGATTCAAGTCCATGTCCAACTCCAAAATCCTTATTCTTTCAGTTATGCACTAATTGCTGTCCTGTGTTTATATTAAAATACAGTATGGGATGTGTGTGTTTGCCTGAATACATTTTTAAAAAGACATTTTAAATAGTGTTTTCAAAAACACAGACTGCATAATCACAAAAACAGAGATCATCAAATAATTTCTCCCAAAACACAAGTTTTACCCAGCACCAGCCTTCATTGCTGGCTAGCAAAAGATGCAACACTTGCAGCAGCGTGTAGCAGAGGCCTTGAACTATCACATTCTTGAGTCTGTTTCCTATACTGGGGTATGTGGTGGTTCCATTATGATGAGTCAACAGAGGGCAAGTTCAACTAAAGGAAACTCTTTAATTTGGGGGTCTGTACACTTTGTGTGTTATGCAAGTCATCAAGCTCCATTCAGGTTACATAACTAACCTTCATTCTTCAGTGTACCTGTGGTCATATATTGCAAGTTTGTTTACATAAACAGATTGAACAACCAGAAATCCATACTCCTAATGCATATCTAGGTCATTGGTCAGGTGTTTAAAAATGTAGGTAAGACTTTCATGTGTCTTCTAGCTAAGAAATTCATTTAGTTAACATTTGCAAGGACTTCGGGTTGGACTAAAAATGACACCAGATGTTTTTGAGGAAGAAATCAGGTATCAGGTATACTTCTTTCTCTCCCATAGATTTTATTGTGTAGAGATTAGTCATTTTTACTAGGATTCTGAAAAACATGGAAAGACAGATATATTCTTCTGTCTGAAAACAGTGGATGTTTATAATTATCTCTATAACACATATGTAGATTTATAGCAAATGAATACATTTACATATCACTTTTGGTATAATAAGGCTCTTTCAGACTCAAGACATTAAGTTGCTGATTACTGCTTTAATGTGTCTGGGACAGAGCTTCTGAGAGTCTGCCTAGAGAAAGCAAGAAGCCCTAAAAAGGCTCTTAAAAATATTCTTCCCTCTCAATTATGCCAATTAAAGATTATTGAGTTTTCAAGACCTCTCTTTGGGCCATCAATCATTCACACTTTGACATGAATTAATCAGTTAATTTTGATTTGTTTCTTGCTATGTATTAGCAGATTTGATAGACGAAGTATGGTATAAGTATTCTAGCTGAATTTTGAGGACAGAAAGGCCTTAGTAGGGTCTCAGAGAATGCAATATGACGGCAGTGATCAATCTGGGGATGGGAAAGATTGAGGAAATGTCAGTACCAAATAGGGAAGAGAAAAAGAGCTGGGAAAACATTCAACATAAATCCAGCTTTTTAGCAGTTTTGACAATGGTAAATCTTGGTGGTGTCCCCACAACCACACAACTGAAATCGTCTGGGCTATCATATGTTGTTGGCCATTGCATATATCATTCTCCAATGTTCCTAAAATTGTATGGCAGCCTAACAGAAATAGTTTTTCCAAGATAATATCTGTGTATAGAAATAGAGCCACTAAAGTTTCCTACAGTCCTTTAGTCAATTCAGAAAGGTAAGGACTACATTATCTATCAGCAGTAAATAGTGAGAGAATTGACTTTAGTATAAATGTAGTTTAAAATAGAGGAGATATTGTGTCCATAACTGGAAAAGAATAATCTGTAATGAGAAATAAATAAAGTAAATAAAAGAGGTCATGGAAATAAATAATATGATTACTGAAATAAAAATTCAACTCAGAATTTAATGATAACATGAAAATTGTATCCCCCAAGCCTAAACAATTAAAAAGAGGTAAAAATGCAAGAGAAAATATAAACAATAAAAACCTTAGAAGACCAATTCAGGACATCAAACATGCAATTAATATAAATTCTAGAAAGAAAGAGCCAAGAAAGAGATGAGAGGAAGTTATTATTTAAGCAGAACAACAAAAAATATCTCAGAGTGGAAGAAGGTCATAAGAACCTAGATGCAAAAGTGTCCAGAATTAAATGATCACTTAAAAATGCAGAAGAAAATGTTTACCACTGCAACCTGTAGACATAGAGCAATTGCTTCAAGTTCTGAAGAAACACTTTTTCATCCTAGAGGTCCATTAACTAGACAATTATCAAGACTTTGGAAAGTAAAATTGAGACATGTTCACACATGCAGAAGCCCAGAAAATTTACCCTCACACAATTCTTTTTAAGACACTACTTATGGCAATGTGCTCCAGACAAACAAATGAAAAAACTGCAGCTGACACGTTTTTAAAAGCCAACCTGCTTTTTCTATTTAAGTTTTTACCTCTCTCATAGATGATCTAGGAATGGTGATCTTATTTCCTACTTTGAAGGTAAATTTTGATTATTGAAACCAATCACAGTAATTCCATTGCTCTTGCTAATAATTGGTTTAGGAGGAAGACAAAGAACAGGAAGTCTGCAAAATGGCTTCCAGGGAAAAAATTTTTAGTACAAAAACAGAGAAATAAAAATAAAACTCTAGATATTCCCGTGAGTGTGTGAGCCTAGAATCGTGAAGGCTATTTTTCCACACTGTCAACAGAAACACAGCTGGACAAAGACAGTATGCTGAGGATAGTAGGACAGAAAGATGGAAAGCAATTACTTTTTTGTTGAAAACTCCATTTTTTCTTTAACATTACCACGCTTTACTGTCTTCATTTCATTCATCAACATTTGAATTTTCTCATTAATTCATTTGCATGCTGATCTCTCCCATCAGTGGGCCATATGCTCTTTGAGAGCAGGGACTTTGTCTCATTAATTTTTGTAACCCCATGACCTCACTCATTGTGTGCACTCAGTAAATATTTCTTGAATGAATAAATGCGGGAGTGGGGCTGAGATGATATAAATAAGCCAGCATAGTAAGAAATCCATTTAGAGGGCACAAAATTAATAAAGTTTAAGCTAACTATATGAGCATATTATTTAGAGATGTAAAGACAGTCAGGGAAGAAACAGTTAAAAGATTTAAAAGTGACTAAGTTGCCACTTGGGAAGCATTATCAGCAGTCAAATATGGGCTTTCTACAGTGTTGCAAGCTATAGGTATAATATTCTTTTTCTGTTTTTTCTATGATGACATTTAATATCCTCCATTCATTATTTTAACCACTTAATATTTGTCTTCCTAGTCCTCTCATGCTGAGGCGGAAGATCATAAATTGAGGAAGATGGTACAACAATTCCATTTCTTATACAAATGAATATAACATTTGCATAAATCATTATCTGGAGGCAATGCCCTCACTGCTATTTCATGCCTTTAAAACTTTTTCCTAGGGCTCAAGAACAGAAGTCTGAAATTGACTGATCTACTGGAATGTTGGCTTTACTCTTCCACTGCCAAGTAAGAGCTCAAATTTGACTTTAAACTTATTATAGAAAACAGGAAATTTAAAGAAAAAGACTTTTATTTATAAGCATACCAGTGCCCCTTACCTATCCATAGAGAAAGAATTAATTTTGCAGGTGTCATAATAAAAGGATAACATTTTCATTTTCATTTTCATTTTATATTTCTGGGAGAAGCAACAAGGATTCACTTAGTGTTTTAAAATAAGGCCTGAAGGAAAATATATACTTTTAATTAAAAGAATAATTTCAAAGGATACTGAAACCAAATTAAATTTCCTTGGGGTTTTAATATTATGCTAGGCCTAAAGGAAATATTACAGAAGGAATTTCCCTTTGATTCCATAATAGAGGCAGACTTAAGACATTTCTCAGTATGTCATTTACTGTCCATTTACTCCCAATGTGTCTTATATTGCAACCTCTGGTGTTGTGACCCAATAGAGTTTCCTATCAAATTGGATAATCTATGCCCTAACATTGAAGGGTTTGGCATAAATGTTCTGGTATGAGTCTGAATAGAGTAAATGACTCATGGAGTTAAAGTCCTTGATGAACTGTGTAGATACAGATTTTACACACTTAATAACATTTATTTACATTTATCTTACATTATCTTAATGTAATGTATCTTAATAACATTAAGTAACATTAATATCTTAATGTATCTTAATATCTTACATGTATCTTAATATCATTAAGATATTAACATTATCTTACATTTACAAAAACAGTGAGAAATGACCTTTCTATATGAGACTAAAAGAGCTTACATGGAGGGCATGTAAAATATGACAATAAACAAAGGGGAAATAGGGATGAAGTCATTTCAATCATTTAAGAAACGGCAGTTTCTTAAATGATTAGTTATTATTAGTTATTCTTAAATGATTAGTTAATTCCTTCCAAAACATTGTTTTTAGGGACTCTCATTTCCAGCAACATGATGAACCAGATACATATTTCATCCTTCTTATGAATAACATCTTCTCAACTGTATCTGTGAGTTGACATGTGAGGACTAATTTATACATTGATTTCCTTTCTTCATTAAGACTGGAAAGCAGAGGACACAGCTAAGGGTATATGTAACATGGGAAGTCTAATAGGAGACTCTCATAAAATTGGGACCTCAAAGGACTCCAGCCACAGTATAAGGATTAATTATAAATAAATGCCCTCTGTCTACCTATATTAAAACATCTCATGTACCCCATAAATATATACACCTACTATATAGCTACAAAAGTTAAAAATTAAAAATGTTTAATAATAACAACAACAATAAATTTGTTTAAATGCCCTCATTAGTTCAGCAAGAAAAAAATGCCTGTCTTGAAATTTGGCACTGAAATATGGGAAATCAAAGGGCAATAAAACCAAGACACACTTAGAGAAAAGAACAAGATGAAATGACCTGCTCTAAGACCAATTCTTTCTTTAAGCTTTTCTATTTATTATAATATCAAATGTAACTAACAGACATTACTTATATATTATTTCCCAACATTATCCTTTAGAGACACATGATCATTAGGTATATTTTCTGCCTTGAAAATTATTTTAGACAACAATTTGCCATGCATTCATGGTTACATGCATTACAAAAATAGCAATTCTTTTTGCCTCTCATATTTTTCACTGTTGGCCAATGGTCATTAAGCCAATGCCACACATTTGAAATTTTTTAAAAAATTATAGCAGAACCCATTCCCTCTACCAATTTCTATATAAGTCAGGATACTATAGTTTATATTCTCATAACAAAAACCCAAATCTCAGAAAAAAATACAACAAAAACTTATTTTATACTTAGACATATCTAATGTTGATCAACAGTCATACTTCTGGTATTATACTCAGGAACTCAGGCTGATAGCAGCTCAATTATATGTTTCCATGACTACAACAGAAATAGAAGACAATATAGCAAACTGTGTACTGGTGCTTAAAAGCTTCAAACAGGAAGGTACACTCATCATTTATCTTCCCATATTACTGGTTAGGATCTCAGTAGAACACATCAAACTTTCAAAAGGACAGAGAAGTCAAATCATATCATTTGCCCAGAAAGATAAGAGATCTGGGATACTGGTGAAAAGCCTTAATTAATATCAAATCAGCAGAAACAATGAACATCAGAATCTAATGATAAAATTAAAAGAAAGAAAATATTTTAATATATCCTGCATTAGTTTTACTGCTGCTATAACAAATTACCACAAACTGACAGGTTTAAGAAAAACAAATGTATTACAGTCCTGGAGGTCAAAAGTCTGATGTGGGCCTCACTGAGCTAACATCAAGGTATTGGCAGAGCTATACTGCTTCCAGAGGCTCTAGGGAAGAATCCACTTTCTTATAATCTTTTCCAGCTTCTAGAGGCTGTCTGAATTCCTTGGATTGTGGCTCTCTTCTATCCAAGAAAATACTGTATAAGATAATTGCAAAAAAAAGTCACTCTCCAAAAGTAACTTGACTGTAAAAAAATACAAAATAGTTTTGGATGAATTATTATAGAAAATAAGAGAGTCTGGAAATATTGTTGGATTCAAAACAGTATAGGGCAAACAAACATTTTGGTAAAAGGAGAAATGCATTTAAAAATAAATCATGGGGGAATGACATCAGCAACATGGAGGAATAGGAGGCTTCTGACTCTCTCCATTTATGATGTACTGACTTAGCATCTTCATGGATCACTCCCCTCTGAGAGAAAAACAGAAACCAGTTGTACCTCATAAATATGTACAATTATTATGATGTGTCATTCCAAAATAAAACAAAACTTTTTTTAAAAGCAGTTTAAAAAACCTCTACCCACCAGGCAACTGAGAAAACATCCACATCAAACAAGTAGGAAAAGTTGAGGCACACTTGGGCACAGACCCCACCCTGGGCACTGTGCTATACAATTGGGAAAGGAATCACCAACACCCATTACCTCCCTGTGGAGAGGAGGGCTTTGACCTCACATATAGCAACCCAACTCTAAGGTTCCCCATAGTCTTTAAAGTCATTAAGTCTGGGAGGAGAGGGGACTAGGCATATATGAGTCTCTCTAGACCACAGGAAAAATTAGTGGTTTTATATGTCGGCACAAGCATTTCGAGGGCTTCATTTCCTTGGAGAAATACAGAGGAAGATCTCAAAAATGAAGCTTTCTATTTCTTCTGGAAGGAGTTTGTAACACACTCTTTCCTTAACTACTTAAGGACAGGTATTCTAATTAACTTTCATGGAGGAGTTGAAGAGGCACACAAAAACAGTAACTTGCTGGCAGACTGAGAAGCAGCATCTTCCTGATTTTTCTCCGCCAGCTCACACTAGAGACAACTTCAGGTCTACCAATTTCCTCTGAAAGTTTGTCCACTCATCAAGTGCCCCAAATTTTACAGTTCCTACCCAAGGGACTTCATTCTAACCTCCTTGCTCTGGAGAGAGAGAACTGGACATGTTTGAGTCCCTCTAGATCACAGAAAAAAGAGCTGGTTTAAAACAGATGTGCAACTACTTTCAGGGGCTACACCTCCCAGGAGCAGTATGGAGTAGGAGCTAAAAAAGTGAAGCTCTCTTTCTCCCAGGAAAGGATTTTTGGCACACTCTTCCAGTGTCTACTTGATTACCTGGCTTCTAACTAACTTTTATCCAGAAGTTAAATGGCTAAACAAACAATAGCCCTGCAGTGGCCTGAGCTGCAGTTCAGCACTGCTTGTGCTTTTCTCCCTCAGCCTGACCCAGCAGTATCTCAAGGTCTACAAATTGCTCCTGGAAGGAGTTTGTTTATGCAATTGACCCAATTATTATAGCTACACACCCAAGGCACTGGACCACAAATCTCCTAGCTTTGGGAGCAGAAAGGACTAAGCATATGCAAGTCTCCATAGGTCACAGAATAAAAAGGTGATTTTTTACCAGGTATGCAAACACTTCCAGGGACTACTCACCCTGACAGCAGTGTAGAAAAGTGGCTGAAAGGCACAACTCTCACTTTCTCTCTAAAGGGGCTTACTACACACTCTTCCAGTGGTTTTTATGGCCCAGCCTCTAACTGCTTGCATTGGGT
The DNA here is from genome assembly GCF_000001405.40 of Homo sapiens. NCBI lineage: Eukaryota > Metazoa > Chordata > Mammalia > Primates > Hominidae > Homo > Homo sapiens. The sequence goes on along the minus strand of NC_000006.12, from coordinate 122,917,542 downwards.
CATTAATGGAATAAACAGTAGCCCTCCAGTAACCTGAGCAGGAGCCTGGCACTTCCCAAGCCTTTCCTCTCAGTTGCCTCAGTGATAAATCTGGGTCTATTCATTCTTTCTGGAGGAAGTTTGTCCACACACTGAGTCCACAAATTATAGAGCTCTCACCAACGGGCTGTCTCCAAAATGAACCAGCTCTGGAAGTTATAGCAATCCTGAGTGTCCCTGGACCAAAGAAAGCAAAGAGGTGAGCATGCGAAAGACGTGCTTCCAGTAGCTATCTTTGCAAGGTCAGAGGGTGTAACCTAAATGTGAATACAGGGCATTTGCCAAAGATCCTCTCCTCAGCTTAGTGCAGAAAGAGTGGGAGGTAAACACCCACACTCAACTTCACCGTGAGGATAAAAGCAACTGGAATACACATTCAAGGCATTAACATTTCCAGCTATATCTAAAGAACCTGGCTTTTACCTTACTGATCTCAGGGTATTAACAGGACATGGCACATCCTAATCAAAAACAAAGATAACCGTTTGTTGGAGGTCATCAGAAAGAGAGAGTGCAGTTTGAACAAACACAAAGATTTGAGAGAAACCTTAAAATCTCTCAGTGGATAGATTTGTGAGATCCTTCTCCTATACAAGCCAAGTCTAACAGGACTGAAAGAGGCAGTTGTCTTATCTAGTATGCAGAAGCCAATCCAGAGAATCAAGGAAAATAAAGAAACAGAGCAATGTATTCCCAATAAAAGAACAAGATAAATCTCTGGAAACAAACTCAAGTGAAATGGAGATGTATGATTTACCCAACAGGGAATTCATGATACTTGTCATAAAGATGCTCATTAAGCTAGGGGAGCAAGGTAAAAGCAAACTGAGAATTTCAACAAAGAGATACAAAAAATTTAAAAATACCAAACAAAAATCATAAAGCTGAGGATGTCAATAGATGAAGCAGAAGAAAAAATCAGTGAACTCAAAGACAGGTCACTGGAAATCATCCAATCTGAGGAGTAAAAAGAAAAAGAATGAAAAAGATTGAAGATAGCTTAAGAGATTATAGGACACTATCAAGAACAACTTATGCATCATTGGCATTCCAGAAAGAGAAGAAACAGAGAAAGGGACAGAAATATTTTCAAAGAAGTAATGGTAGAAAACTTTCCAAGACTGGGGAAGGAAATAGAAATCCAGATGCAGAAAGCTCAACAGACACCAAATAAGATGAATCCATAGGCACACTGAGACACATCATAATTAAATTATCAAAAGTTCAAGACAAAGAGAGAGTTTTGAAAGCAGGAAGGGAAAAGTGAATTGTAACATATAAGAGAACATTTATAAGACTACTAGCAGATTTTTCAGCAGAAATCTTGCAGGTCAGAAGAGAGTGGGATGATATATTCAATATCCTGAAAGAAAAATACTGCCAATCAAGAATACTATACTCAGCAATCATGTCTTTCAAAAATGAAGGGATGATAAAGACTTTCTCAGACAAAAGCTGAGAGCTTATCACCACTATGTCTACATTACAAGAAATGTGGAATGGAATTTTTTAAGGTAAAGAAAATGGATGCTAATTAGTAACATAAAAACATATAAAACCACAAAACTCACTGGTAAGTACATTGTCAAATCCAAAACACTCTAATACTGTAATGGTGGTGGACAAATCGATTATATCTCTAGTATAAATGTTAAAATGCAAAAATATTAAAAACAGTGAAAGCTACAATTATTTGTTAAGAGATACAAAATATAAAAAGATGTAAGTTTTGACATAAGAAATAAAAAATGGGAGGATGTGGTGTATAAGCATAGACTTTGTGTATGTGATTAAAATTAAGTTGATATCAAGTGAAAATAATCTGTTATAAGGATAAGATGCTTTATCCCGGGGTAATCACAAAAGTCTATAATGTATACACAAAAGACAAAAAGAGTGATTCAAAGCATACTACGAAAGAAAGCCATCAAACTGCAAAAGAAGGAAACAAGAGAGGAAGAAAGAAACAAAGAATCTACAAACAACCAGAAGCAATTGACAAAAAGATACTAGTAAGTCATTTACCTATCAATAATTATTTTGAATGTAAATAAATTAAACTTTTCAATAAAAAGAGAGTGGCTGAATGGCTTAAGGAAAAAAGACTCAACTACATGCTGCCTATTCTTATAAAAGACTCACTAATTCACCTTAAATGATACTCACAGGCTGAAAGTTAAGGGATAAAAAGATTATTCCATGCAAATGGAAACCAAAAGAGACAGGGATAGCTATTCCTATTTCAGAAAAAAATTGACTTTAGTTCAAGACTGTAAAAAGAGACAAAGAAGATTATTGATGCAGTGATGAAAGGGTCAATTGCTAAGAGGATATGTAAATTATAAATATATATGCATCAAAATCAGAACACATAAATATATAAAGCAAACATTAAGAGATCTAAAGAGAGACATAGACTGCAACACAACAATAGCATGAGATTTTAATATTTTATTTTCAACAATAGACAGAGCATCAGTCAATTTTCACACTGCTATGAAGACATACCTCAGACTGGGTAATTTATAAAGAAAGAGCTTTAATTGACTCACAGTTCCACATGGCTGTGGAGGCCTCAGGAAACTTATAATCATGGCCAAAGGGGAAGCAAACACATCCTTATTCACCTGAGTGCAGGGAGAGGAAGTACCAAGGGAAGGGGAGAAAATTCCCCTTATAAAACCATCAGATCTCATGAGAACTCACCCACTATCACAAGAACAGCATGAGGGAACCACTTCCATGATCTAATCACTTCCTACCAGGTCCCTCCCAGGACACATGGGGATTATGGGAACTATAATTCAAGACGAGATTTGGGTGGGGATACAGCCAAATCATATTATTCAGCCCCTGGGCCCTCCCAAATCTCCTCTTTCTCAAATTTCAAAATACAATCATGCCTTTCCAATAGTCCCCCAGAGTCTTAACTCATTCCATCATTAACCCAAAAGTCTAAGTTCAAAGTCTCACCTGAGACAAGGCAAGTCGTTTCTACCTGTGAGTCTGTAAAATCATAAGCAAGTTAGGTACTTCCTAGATAGAAGGAGGTACAGGCACTTGATAAATACACGCATTCAAAGTGGGAGAAATTGGCCAAAACAAGGGGCTATGCAAGTCTGAAATCCAACAGGGCAGTCACTAAAACATTAAAGTTCCAAGATGATCTCCTTTGACTCCATGTCTCACATCACGGTTATGCTGATGCAAGACATAGGCTCCCACAGCCTCAGGCAGCTCTGTCCCTTTGGCTTTGCAGAGTACAGTCCCCCTCCTAGCTGCTTTCTCAGGCTGACATTGAGTGTCTGTGGCTTTTCCAGATGCACGGTGCAAGCTGTCAGTGGATCTACTATTCTGGGGTCTGGAGAATGTGGTCCTCTTCACACAGTTCCACTAGGCAGTGCCCCAGTTGGGGCTCTGTATAAGGGATCCAATCACACATTTCCCTTCTGTACTGCCCTAGCAGAGGCTCTCCATGAGGGCTTCACCCCTGCAGCACACCTCTGCCTGAACATCTAGATGTTTCCATACATCCTCTGCAATCTAGGCAGAGGTTCCCAAAACTCAATTCTTGACTTCTGTGTACCCACAGGGCCAACACCACGTGGAAGCTGCCAAGGCTTGGGCCTTGAACCCTCTGAAGCAATGGCCCAGGCTGTACCTTGGCCCATTTTAGCCATGGCTGAAGCTGAAGCAGCTGGGACACAGTCCACCATGTCCTGAGGCTGCACAGAGCAGGGGGGCCCTGGGCCTGGCTCAAGAAACCATTTTTCCTTCCTAGGCCTCCAGGCCTGTGATGGGAGGGGCTGCTGTGAAGGTCTCTGACATGCCTTGGAGACATTTTCCCCACTATTTTGGTCATTAACATTTGACTCCTTGTTACTTCTGCAAATTTGTGTAGCTGGCTTGATTTTTGTCCACTAAAAATGGGTTTTTCTTTTCTACCACATCATCAGGCTGCAAATTTTCCAAAATGTTATGCTCTATCACTTCTTGAACACTTTGCTACTTAGAAATTTCTTCCACCAGGTACCCTAAATCATCCCTCTCAAGTTCAGAGTTCCACATATCTCTAGGGCAGGGGCAAAATGTCACCAGTCTTTGCTAAAGCATAGCAAGAGTGACCTTTACTCCAGTTCCCAAGAAGTTCCTCATCTCCATCTGCAACCACCTCAACCTGGATTTCATTGTCCATATCACTATCAGCATTTGGGTCAAAGCCATTCAACAAGTCCCTAGGAAGTTCCAAACTTTCTCACATTTTCCTGTCTTCTGATCCCTCCAAGTCTGTAGGAAGTTCCAAACTTTCCCATATTTTCCTGTCTTCTTCTGAGCACTCCAAACTGTTCCAACCTCTGCCTGTTACCCAGTTCCAAAGTTGCTTCCACATTTTTGGATATCTTTACAGCAGCACTCCTTTCTATGCAGTACCAATTTACTGTATTAGTCTGTTTTAATGCTGCTGTGAAGACATACCCAAGACTGGGTAATTTATAAAGGAAAGAGGTTTAATTGACCCACAGTTCTGCATGGCTAGGGAGGCCTCAGGAAACTTACATCTGTGGCAGAAGGGGAAGCAAACACTTCCTTCTTTACATGCCAGCAGGGAGAACTCCTGAATGAAGGCAGGGAAGCCCCTTATAAAACTATCCGATCTCGTAAGAACTCACTCACCATCATGAGAACAGCATTGGAGAACAACCCCCACGATCTACTCCCCACTGAGTCCCTCCCATGACATGTGGGGATTACAGGAACTACAATTCAAGGTGAGACGTGGGTGGGAACACAGATTATCCAAACAGAAAATTAATAAGGAAACATTGGACATGAACTCCACTAAAGACCAAATAGACCTAACAGGCATATAACAGAACATTCCATCCAACAGCAAAAAAATGCACATTCTTTTCAAATGTTCAGAGAACATTCTCCAGGATAGATCCTATGTTAGGCCACAAAACAAGTCTTAATAATTTAAGAAGATTAAAATCATATTATCTTTTCCAACCTCATCTGTATGGAACCAGAAAACAATGAAAGGTACAATTATAAAAATCAACAAATATATGAAAATTAAGCAATATAGTCCTGAACAGCTATTTGGTCAAAGGAAAAATTGAAAGAGAAATTTAAAAATACCTTGAGACAAATAAAAATGGTAACGTATCATATCAAAACATACCTGATACAGGAAAAGTGCTTCTAAGAGGGAAATTCATAGAACCAAATGCCTACATCAAAAAAGAAAAAAGATCTCAAATAAACAACATAATGTTACATCTCATAGAACTAGAAGAAAGGATAAAAAATTAAGCCCAAAGTTAATAGGAGGAAGTAAGTAACAAACATAAGAGCAGAAATAAATGAAATAGAGACTAAGAAAAACAACAACAACAACAAAAACCAAAGAGTTGTTATTTTGACAATCTAAACAAAATCAACAAGCTCTTAGCTGGACTTAAAAAAAGGAATATCAAAAAATGAAATCAGGAATAAAAGAGGTCTCACAACTGAAAACAGAAATACAAAGAATTATGAGACTACTATGAACAACTACATTCCAACAAATTAGAAAATCTAGAAGAAATGAATAAATTCCTAGAACTACGTAATGTATTAAGACTAAATCATGAAGAAATTAGAAATATGAACAGAACAATAATGAGTAAGAAGATTAATTCAGGAAATAAAAGTGTGCTTTTATTAAAAGAAAAGCCCAGGACCAGATGGCTTCACTGCTGAATTCTAGTGAAGATTTTTAAAACTAATACCAGTCCTTCTCTAACTCTTCCAAAAACTTGAAGAGGAGGGAGTACTTACAAATTCATTTTATGTGTCCAGCATTACCATGATACTAAAGCCAGATAAAGGCACTACAGGAAAAGAACACTACAAGCCAATATCCCTGATAAACATCAATGCAAAAAGTCTCAACAAAATACTAGCAAACTATATTCAACATTATGTCAAAAGGATCATTCATCATGATCAAGTGGAATTTATCCCTGGGATGTAAGGATGGTTCCATATATGTAAATCAATAAATTTCATTCACCATATTAACAGAATTAAGGATGAAAACTAGACGATTATCTCAACAGATACAGAAAAAGCAAAATTTGAAAAAAATTTAACATCCTTTCATAATAAAATTTCACAAGTTAGGTATAGAAGAAATGTTCTTCAACAAAATTAAGGCCATATATAATAATCCCATAGGTAGCATAATACTCAAGGATAAAAAGTTGAAGGTTTTTATTCTAAGATTAGGAACAAGAGAAGGTTGCCTATTCTCACCAGTTCTGTTCAACGTGGAGTAGCCAGAAGTCTTAGAGCAATTAGGCAAGAAAAAGAAATAAAAAGTATCCAAATAGGAAAAATAAAATGAAATTGTCTCTGTTTGCTGGTGACATGATCTTATATATAGGAAAACCTAAAGACTTCATTTTAAAAAAAAGTTATAACTGATAAACAAGTTTAGTAAAGATGCACAATGGAATACTATTCAGCCTTAAAAAGCAGAAAATTCCCTCATTTGCAACAACATGGATGAACCTAGAAGATATTTTATGCTAAGTGAAATAAACCAGACACAGAGAGATAAAAGCAATCTGCTCTAACTTGCATGTGTAATCTTAAAAAGTCAAACCCATGAAAATAGAGAGTAGAAAGGTCATTACCATAGTTGAGGGGAATGGACCGGGAAGGAGGAGATGTTGGTCAAAGGGTACAAAGTTTCAGTAGAATACAAGGAATAGGCTCTAGTGATCCTTTGCACAGCATGGTGACTATAGTAAATAATATATTTCAAAATACCTAAAAGAGTGAATTTCACAAAGAAATAAGTATTTGAGGTGATAAATATGTCAGTTAGCCCGTTTGATCACTCCATAATGTATATATGTATCAAAACATCACATTTTACCCACAAATATGTGCTATTATTTGTCAATTAAAAATAAGATAAAACTGGCTCGGCACGGTGGCTCACGCCTGTAATCCCAGCACTTTGGGAGGCCGAGGCGGGTGGATCATGAGGTCAGGAGATCGAGACCATGCTGGCTAACAGGGTGAAACCCCGTCTCCACTAAAAATACAAAGAAATTAGCCGGGCGTGGTGGTAGGCGCCTCTAGTCCCAGCTGCTCGGGAGGCTGAGGCAGTAGAATGGCGTGAAGCTGGGAGGCGGAGCTTGCAGTGAGCAGAGATCGCGCCACTGCACTCCAGCCTGGGTGACAGAGCGAGACTCCGTCTCAAAAAAAAAAAAAAAAAAAAAAAGATAAAACTTGGCCAAGTGCCTTGGCTCGTGCCTGTAATCCCAACACTTTGAGAGGCCAATACAGGGGAATCACTTGAGTCCAGGCGTTTAAGACTAACTTAGGCAATATAGCAAGACCCCATTCTACAGAAAACATTTAAAAATTAGCCAGACATCATGGTGTATGCCTGTAGCCCTAACTACTCGGTAGGCTGTGGAAGGAGGATCACTTTAGACAAGGAGGTCGAGGCCGCAGTGTGCCATAATTGTGCCACTGCACTCCAATCTGGGTGACAGAGCAAGAAAACTAAATACATAAGTAAAACTAAATAAATACATATATCCTTGAAAAGTACCTAAGATTAATTTAACAAAATAAATGAAATTTCCTTATAAAAATAATAGTAAACTTAATTGATAGACATTGACAAAGGCTTTTTTAAAATGTAGTTTACTATTTTTATGGCTTAAAGTCTTGATATTTTTAAAATATCCATGTTTTCCCAAGTTAATTTATTTCTGATGCACTTCCAATCAGAATCCTAACATGATTTCTATAAAACTTGATAATTATTTCTTAAATAATAATTGATAATTATTCTAAAATTATGTAAAATAAGGAAAATTTCTAAGATCAGAGGACCTGTCTTTTTACATACCAAGAGTTATTAAAAAGATATAATTATCTTTTTTAAAAGTTACTGTTTTGCTTTCTGAATTCAATTATAAAACAACTATAGGCCAAATGCAGTGGTTCATGCCTGTAATCCCAATGCATTGGAAGGCTAAGGCAGAAAGATTGCTGAGGCCAGGCATTTGAGACCAGCTTGGGCAACATAGCAAGATCCCATCTATAAAGAAAAAAAAAAAGAAGAAGGCAGGATCTCAGTCTTTTCACAGTGGCTGAGTCAACCAGCATTTTAAAAAGAAAGAAATAAATAAAATAACTACACTTAATTTTTGTTTATGAAGTGAGGTAGGGATCTGGTTTCATTTTTGCATTCCATATGAGTACTTAATTACCCCCACACTAATTATTGAAAAGATTGGCATTTCCTCCATTGCGCTTTAATGTCACCTTTATTTTAAATTACATGTCAACATATATATATGAGTCTGTTTCTCGGTTCTTTATTCTACTCTGATGACTAATCTATTCTTAAACCTAGTACGACACTTTCTTATTTACTGCATATTCCAAAACACGTATTACTGTGTTATAAACTACCCCAAAACTCAGTGGCTTCAAACAGCCACATTGTATCTCATTACTCCTGGATCAGAAATTCGGGTGGGTCCCAGCTAGCTGAATTTTTTCTACCATGTGAAGGCTTATAACAAAAGTCACTAGGTGGTATTCAGCTGGTGGTTTGAATGGCTTAAAGAGTCTGAGGTCATTTTACTCACATGTCTAGCACTTTAGTGGAGATGCCTAAGAAACTAGGCTCAGCTGGATCTGTTGACCACAGCTCCTACACATGGCTTCTACAGCACAATGGTTTCAAAGAACCTGATCTTTTTTTTATGACAGCTCAGATTTTGCAGTGAGAGAATGTTGTAAGAGTCCTGGATGGAGGCTGCAGGACTTTTTATGACCCTGATTTAGAAATCAGGGATGTAATTTATACTGTATTCCAGGAATTGTTTAACATTTGAAAATCACTGTATATTCAACACATTAAAAAGATAAAAATAGCCGGGCACGGTGGCTTACGCCTGTAATCCCAGCACTTTGGGAGGCAGAGGCTGGCGGATCACGAGGTCAGGAGATCGAGACCATCCTGGCTAACACAGTGAAACCCCGTCTCTACTAAAAATACAAAAAATTAGCCGGGCATGGTGGCGGGCGCCTGTAGTCCCAGCTACTCAGGAGGCTGAGGCAGGAGAATGGCGTGAACCCGGGAGGCGGAGCTTGCAGTGAGCCAAGATTGCGCCACTGCACTCCAGCCTGGGCGACAGAGCGAGACTCCGTCTTAAAAAAAAAAAAAAAAAAAGATAAAAATAGATAGATGAAAGAAAGTAAACATAATTATTTTGACCAATGTAGAAAACACATTTGAGGACATCTAATATCAATTTATAATTTTTTTCAAAATCTTGGAAGTGGAAATAAGACTTCAGTCTGATAAAGGAAATCTTTACAAAGGACATGCTGGTAATACCATGTCTAATCTACTTCCCCCTAAGACTGAGAAGGAAGTAAGCATGTTGTCTCATGTCTTCTATTCATCATTGTAATAAAGTACCTATACAATGTATGTATTAGTCTGTTCTCACACTGCTATGAAGAAATACCCAAGACTGGGTAACTTATAGACAAAAAAGTTTTAATTGACTCACAGTTCTGCAGTGCTGGGGCGGCCTCAGGAAACTTACAATCATGGTGGAAGGCAAAGGAGAAGCAGGCAGCTTCTTCTCAGGGCGGCAAGATGTAGTGAGTGCAAGCAGGGGAAATGCCAAATGCTTATAAAACCATCAGATCTCATAAGACTCACTCACTATCACAAGAACAGCACTGGGGAAACTGCCCCCACGATCCAATTACCTTCACCTGGTCCCACCCTTGACACATGAGAATTGTAGGGATTATGGGGGTTACAATTCAAGATGAGATTTTGGGTGGGGACACAGCCAAATCATATCAATCTAAGAAAAGAAAATGAAATATAAGTGAATAATTGTGTAGGTATAAAACCTAAGGAATCTACCAGAAAATATATCAGATCTACTTAGTAAAAGCAATAAGATTGCAGTGTAAACCATCAATAAACAGAAATCAGTGGTATTTCTGTATATATTAGCAGCAAACAAATGGAAAATAAAATGTTTAACTACCATTGAATAGAACATCCTCCATATATAACACACTTAGAAAATTTAAACAAAACTGTACATTTTTTTGCAAATGAAACCACAACTGAGTTAAAGATAACTGTATTGTGTGAGGGCAAGGCAGGAGGATAGCTTGAGGCCATTAGTTTGAGGCCAGCCTACGCAACATAGCAAGACCCTGTTTCTACAAAAATATTAAAAATTCAGCCAGATATGGTGGTGCACACCTTGTAGTCCTAGCTCTTTGGGAGTGTGAGTCAGGAGGATCGCTTGAGCCCATGAGTTTGAGGCTGCAGTGAGCTAAGAAAGTCATTGTACTCCAGCAGGTGACAGATTGAGATCCAATCTCTATAAAAAAATTAAAATAAAAAATAACAAAATAACAAAGACTTAAATAAAATGGAAAAATATTCCATGTTTACAGATTAGTTGACTTAATATCATTAATATCTTCATTTTCCATTAATTGATATATATAACTTCATTGCATTCATAATCAAAATCCCAAAGGCTTTTTTATGACATTGACAAGTATTTTACGATTACTGACAAATTTTATACAAAAATACAAAGGCCCACTAACTAAACAATATTGAGAAGGGAAAACAAAGCTGGTGTATTTACACTACTCGATTTCAATATTTACTCTAAACCTATAGTAATAAATAAAATTTAGTATTGGAAAAAGAATAGATAAACATATCAACATGCAGAAGAAAATTAAAAACCAATCCCAAAATATATATAGTCAATTGATTTTTGATCCAAGTACCAAGATTGTTCAATGGAAAATGAAAAATCTTCAACAAGTAGTGATGGGACAATTGGAAAACATATAAAGAAATGAATATTGGCTGGGCACGGTGGCTCACGCCTGTAATCCCAGCACTTTAGGAGGCTGAGGTGGGTGGATCCCCTGAGGTCAGGAGTTCAAGACCAGCCTGGCTAACATAATGAAAACCCGTTTCTACTAAAAATACAAAAAATTAGCCAGGTGTGGTGGCACACACCTGTAATTCCAGCTATTCAGGAGGCTGAGGCAGGAGAAGCTCTTGAACCCAGGAGGCGGAGGTTGCAATGAGCTGAGATTGCACCACTGCACTCCAGCTTGGGCAACAAGAGTGAAACTCCGTCTCAAAAAAAAAAAAAGTGAAATGAATATTACCCATTCTTTATAACATATGCAAAAATTAATTCAAGATCATGGCGGGTGCAGTGGCTCACACCTGTAATCCCAGCACTTTGGGAGGCCGAGACGGGTGGATCACCTGAGGGGTCAGGAGTTCGAGACCAGCCTGGCTAACATGGTGAAACCCCATCTCTACTAAAATTACGAAAAAATTAGCTGGGAGTGGTGGCACATGCCTGTAGTCCCAGCTACTCGGGAGGCTGAGGGAGAAGAATAACTTGAATCAGGGAGGTGGAGGTTGTAGTGAGCCGAGATCGTGCCACTGCACTCCAGCCTGGCCAACAGAGTGAGAGTCTGTCTCAAAAAAAGAAAGAAAGAGAGAGAGAGAGAGAGAGGGGGGGGGGGGAGAGAGAGAGAGAGAGAGAGAGAGAGAGAAAATTAATTCAAGATCAATTTTATAATTAAAACTACAAGCAAAGCTATGAAGTTTCTAATGTGAAACATTGAACAGTATCTTCAGAACCTGGGTAAGATAAACATTTCTTAGAGAGGATACAAAAACACCAACCCTAAAGCAAAAAGACAAAAAAGGAAATATGAAGAAAGAGACATTGGATTTCATCAAAATAAACATTCCGTCCATCGAAGGCACCATAAGTAAAAGTAAGAGAGATGCTACTGTATGGAAGAAAATATTTGCAATACACATTTCTAGAAAAAGGCTTGTGCCCACAAAATATTAAGCATTGCTACTAAACCAATAATAAATAAAAAGACAACCCAATCGTTAAATGGCCGAAAGATTTAAACAAACAAAAAATGATTTGTGAATGGCCAATCAGCATAGAAAAGTGCTCAAATTATTCACCAAGAAAATGTAAAATAAACTCACAATGAGATACCACTATAACTCCATTAGATTGGTTACAATTTCAAAACCTGACAATACCAAACTTTGGTGAGAATACAGAGCAACTGAGACTTTTAAAATTGCTGTAGTGAATTAAAAATGTCACAGCCAAACAATACACACTGGGGACTACTAGAGGATAGAGAAAGGGAAGGGGGCAAGGGCCAGAAAACTACCTATTGAGTACTATGCCCATTATCTGGGTGATGGGACCATTCATAACCCAAACCTCAGGATCACCCAATATACCCATGAAACAAACTTGTACATTTACCCCATGAGTCTAAAATAAAAGCTGAAATTATAAAAATAAAATAAAATGTCTCAGCCACTTTGGAAAACTATTTGTCAGTTTCTTGTACATTTAAACCTTATAACCCAGTAATTTCACTCCTTCAAATTTACTCAAAAGAAATGAAAACATATGCTCCCAAAATGACTTTTATAGGGATATTTATAGCACCCTTATTTATGATGGCCAAAACCTGGATACAAGTCAAATGCCTACCAGTCCTAGAATGTATAGTCACAATAGTGTAATACTGTTGAACAGTGGAGAAGTACGAATGTCCACCCACATATATGAACCTCAGAAACATAATATTAATCAAAAGAAGCAAAGCACAGAAACTTATATATAACATTGAATATATTTAATTAAGTTTAAAAGCTGGTATAATTGAACAGTACATTGTTTATGGATTTATCATGGATGGTATTTTAGTCTGTTCTCATACTGCAAAGAAAGACATACCAAAGACTGGGTAATTTATAAAGGAAAGAGGTTTAATGGACTCACAGTTTCACATGGCTAAGGAGGCCTCATAATCATGACGGAAGACGAAGGAAGAGCAAAGGGATGTCTTATGTGGCAGCAGGCAAAAGGGCTTGTGCAGGGGAACGCCCCTTTATAAAATCATCAGATCTCATGAGGTTTATTCACTATTACGAGAACAACACAGGAAAGACCCACCCCCATGATTCAATTATCTCCCACTGAGTTCCTCCCACAACACATGGGAATAATGGGAGCCACAATTCAAGGTGAGATTTGAGTGGGCACACAGTTAAACCATATCATAAACCTATAACAATGAGCAAGCAAATGTTTACACAAAATTCAGATTAGTAGTTAGCTGCTGGACAATGAAAAGATATATGATTTGGTACATTACATAAGGGCTTCTGAATGTTGGCAACGTTCTATTTATTAGCTTGCATGGTCATACTTCTTAATTTTATTCTTCTTCTTTGTATTGTAAATATACTTTTTTTATAAATGAATATAAATTTTATAATATTTTGTAAATCCCTAGCTAACTTCTTAACTATAAAGATAGATAGAATTATTTTTATATGTTGTTAAAAGCCTAGTAATTGTGGCCAAATGCCATGTGATTTGTAGAGTTCTGCACTTGAGTTTCATTTAACATACATATTAAGATATTACTTTTCAATAAGAATATTGCTTAAATTAAAATTTTAAAGTTCCAATAAAAGCTACTTATAATTTTAAGGGAAAAGGCTAATTTTTTGTCACTGAAGTGCCTACCTTTTTCTAAATTTATCTGATGTAGTTCCTACTACTTACTTGTATGAATTGTGACAGTCAAATAGGCTTAACTTTTAAAGTTTAACTTACTGAAAAGTAAACATTCAAATGAATGCCATCATACAAACAATTCACCTTGAAAGGCTGAATACATGCCAGTGATGCTGCAACCATTTTTGGAAATCCTCCTTTAAAATGCCCTTCCAAGTCAATTTAGGAAACTGTATTCACTGCTTTATAGTTTCATATCTTATTTGTAAATCAGAATTCCACATTATACTTAACATGAAAAGAGATACAGAAAACCAGCCACTGTTTTAAAGCATAAAATCATCTGGCAGCACAGATGACATGAATAAATGTACATTTGACAGATGGGGAACGATAGGTGGTCGCTGTACCTGGAACAATTCAAAGAACAGATGGTATTTGTCTAGATTTTCTAACAAAATAAAGAGATGTTTACTTATTTAATTTTAAATGATGGTTCAGAGAGCTATAGAGGGACAGAAAAATCACCTTAAGAAGGACATAGTGAGCAAACAGTAAAGAGAAGTATATTTTATGTTCTACAACAGGAGATAACATATTTTCTCTCAATTATAAACACTACATGCTAAAGAACATTGACTCAAAGCCGAAATAAAAATGTAGGAAATACATGCTTTGAGATGCTGTATAAGTCTCCATCAACTAACCCAATTGCATAAGCAGACACTTAAGTCAAACTTATGGTAGACCCTTTTATATTTTAAAATGTTTTTGGCTTAGTACATAAAAATTTTTGTCATCTCATTCTCCCTGGGCAGCTTAAGTAACAGAAATTAACATGATAAACTTACTGTTCTAAGGTGGTAATGATGGATAATGTAGTACGATATTTCTCCTCAAAGTCTTTAAGAACAAATGTTAAAATAATGAGATATCTTTTTAAATGCCAAACAAAAAAACGTGTACATACACTTAAAGGCTATCCTTCAGAGTATCCTTCACCTTGAAAGATTACAATACACATTTATTCCAGGGAGGTTAACAGTAATCAAAATATTTGGGGAACTTCTTTTACAATGCCCTTGAATAAGTTCTTAGACACACACACACACACACAAATTACAACTTTACATTTACATTTTCATTGGCATACATATCAATCTAATCAAATATCTTTCTTTCTTATCACTTCTGGGGACAAATAACTTTTGGAAGCCTCCATTCAACCTAATTCCTCACCAAACAAATGGAATGGAGATACGTCCCCACTGAAATTTCCATAAGAATTTTATGCAGATTATGAGGCAAGTACTTTGAACTCAAACTTGAGCTTGAATCCTGACTCATTTTTTATAATCATAAGACTTTGGACAAGTATTGCATAAACTCTTCAAGTCTAAATTTCTCGTCTATGAAATAATAACCACAATGCCCCTAATCTCTGAGCCAGAAGATGGAGGATGAAAAATAAGTTTCAGGCATTCTGTTTACACAGAGCCTCACACAGCATACAATACACAGTATACATTCAATACATATTTATTGGCTATATAAATAATGGTTTTATTTTTAAGGCTATGGTTACTGGATTAAGACCTTCTACATTTTATTAAGAGGACTATAGGTAGACTTAAGGAAGAACAATTTGTGAATTGTTGAAAAAATAAAAGAAGACTAACATGTGATGGGTAAAAAAGGTGTTTTAGAGAAATGAGAGCAGAAGGCATGAAGAAATTGGAAGAGAAATAAGATAATATGTTAAAGGTCACGAAAACACCTGAATACATTCATCAGCCAGAATATTGTGCACAAGTTTTAGAGCAGGAAGAAAAAGAGGGGCCAAGTCAGGAAGATGTCTGAATCCAGAATAAAATGTAAGAAAATCATTGATTTTAGAGCTCAGATAATTGAAAAACAGTTCTTACTAGGATTAAGGAACAACCCTGGGATGCAGGCAGGACAAAAACCCTTCTTCCTCAGTGACTAAGGAATCTCTGAGAAAAATTTCCAGTATTGCATTGAGGAGAATATAAAACCAAATTCATTTGTCTATGTGCACTCAGAAGCAAAGGATAGTCTACAGAGAGCAAGAAAAATGCTGATCTGCTTGAGAAGACACCAAGGGAGACCTCACAGCACTAAGAGATGGAGCAAGGAGAGCCAGGCCACTGCTGTCCAGCTCTGGCTCCAGGCCCTCCTGTGGCCCACCTGCACTTCCAGCTGGTAAACACAACAAAGCAACTCTGAAGCCTTCCAATTTTTTCTCATTTTTAGTTATTCTTAATGTGTTTCTCTTCTTCATAATATGTCTCCCCTATGACAAAAAGTCTCATGGAGTGCAACCTTAGCAAAGATTTTCACACATTTTTAAATTCAGACACCCTGAGTTTTAATCATGGATCCATCGGATGTAATTTTTCCAGAATAAAACTAGGGTAAATACTATATCCCATTGCTCCACGTAATGAGGCTAAGAAGGAAGCAGAGGCCATATCCTGAGGGATCTAGAGAGGCCAAGTCAGATAAAGTCAGAAAAGCTGACAGTGGCATTACAAAGAAGAAAAAAGAAGAGGAAGCAGAAGGAGGAGGAGGAGGAGGAAAGAAGGAAGAAAGAAGAAGAGGAAGAGGAAGAGGAAGAAGGAGGAGGAGGAGGAAGGGAGAAGGAGGAGAAGAGGAAGAAGAAGAGGAAGAAGAAGAAGAAGAAGAAGAAGGAGAAGGAGGAGGAGGAGGTGGTGGAGGAGGAGGAAAGAAGAAAGAAGAAGAAGGAAGAGAGAAGGAAGGAAGGAAGCGAGGGAGGGAGGAAGTAAAGAAGGAGGGAGGGAGAGAGGGAAGGAAGGAGAGAAGGAAGGAAGGAAGCGAGGGAGGGAGGAAGGAAAGAAGGAGTGAGGGAGGAAAGGAAGGAGAGAGGGAAAGAAGGAAGGAAGGAAGGAAGGGAAAGTAGATTATGAATAACCTCATGAGTTGTTTGAGCAGAAAAGTTGAAGCAGAAATCAAGAAGTTTTTATTTAAAGGATGAAAGTAATAACATAGTAGCTGGCACATTGTAGGTGGGTTGTTTGTATAAATGTTTCCTTTTGTACCATCGGCTACTTTGTTGCTTGGCTTTTGATGTTTTAAATTAATTTAATATGGAGCAATATGAGTGTGCTTAAACGCTGACAGAGGGGATAATAGAAACAAAAGAAAGGATAGAGTGCAAAGAATTTTAAAAGTGACGTCTCTCAGGGAAGGAAACACACGCCAAAGAGTTCTATTTTTGATATTAGGTGCAAAAGAAGAGAGTATTGTTGTTGATATAACTAGGTTTATAGGTTTGTGGGCAACATTTTAAAAATGTTATGTTTGATGGCCCCATTTTCTTTCTGAAGTAGAGATAAGATAATGTGCCCAAATATGAAGGAAATCAGTGGAATAGTAGAATGATAATTTTGAGAAGATTATAGAACATTTGAAATGACACACATAGAGAGAGAACTGACAAGGCAAACAGCAAGTACTATTGGACAAATCTTGAGGACGGGGGGAGTATGATCCTCAGAACCATTCATTTAGAGCATCAATTATCGGCTTGTGTGATTGTTTCCAACAGTACTGCACAACTCCTACACAGACAAAAAAAATGTTAAATAGTTGGATTTGTTCAGCACTGGGGTCTATCCATGTGACAAAATAATAGAGCAAGGAAGCTTGGTATACATGTAAGGGAGTGACTGGAACTGTGTACCATGAAATCTAAGCTACCTGTGAGAGGACACGAAGATGGAAAACAGATAAAATGAGATTGAATTAGAAGGATCTATGCTAAAATTCCTGGTAAGGCAAAACCAAGGAAGAAAGGAATAATTATTATGGTGGTTATTTGTAATATGTTCTGAGTTTTAGAAACCTGTTGATTATCTGTGAAATATTTGCGTATTTTCTGCCTTATGAATCCTGCCTACCCACAGTAGGGACCAAGAAATTTCCCTGGAAACCTTTTTGACTGGAGTGTAGGCATGTGAACAACAATCAGATGCATCCTCTCAGAACATCACTACAGAGAGTGAGCAAAGTAAGGATGCTGGCTAGAGGAATTCACTTTCTAGCAACGATATTAACAAAGACACTTGGATCCTCAGGAGAATTAGCAGGGAGCTTTCAGCAACCAGTGAAACCTTTGGCATCACTGGTACCACCAACAATGGTGGTGCTAAGTAGTGGCAGCAAGGATGTTTTTACTAGAGCAGTCCCCAAGGGAGTCAGTCAAACACCATTCCTGGCTTCTGGCAGTTAGACATGGCTCTCTGACTTCCTCAAGCTATCTAGTATACTTTAATTAATTGATTTTCTACTTAAGCTATCCAAATCAGATTTATTTTTTGCAACAAAGAATCCTGCCTAATATTAAGTGAAGTAGGCAGAAAGATTAAAAGTTGGAGTGCAAGAGTGGAACAGTTCTGAGTGATGATTCGGTCCAGAACATGGACATGAAAATGTGTGACTGAGAAGTTGAAGATGTCATTAGAGATGAGGCTCCCAAGGAATGGGGCAGCCAGGATGCAAGATATTTATCCAGAGATGTGGATGAATATCTCTGGAATGACCGAGCAGTGGATGAAATAAATGAATGATGACAGTATCTACAAACAACACAAGAAGTACAGCTGATTACATGAGCCTCAAAAGAGAAGAGCTACATGAAGGAGAGTGATTAATGGTCCTGACATGGTGGCATGGGCAGAGAACCCACCAAACACATTCCATTACCTTAAGATTTGGGAATAAGATTTTATAGCCTTAATCTGGGAGGGATGCAGGGTCTTGATGTCCTCAGGGATAATTAGCTTTCCAAGAAGAACAGGAGGTTGAGGAAATGTCGGTAAAGAAATCAAGGATGTAAAGGATTTGTTAACAACAGAACTGTGTTTAACAGTGCATAACAAAAAGGTGTGAAGAGGAAAGAAAAGTTAAAGTTGAGTCTGGAGAAAGAAAATAAAAAGGAGAATTCAGATGAGAGAATAAAAACGGCATGTGATCCAGAACCATAGGGACTTTCATTTCAGGCAGTGACCAACGACAAAGTGGTTGAGAGTGATGTGTATTTAGGTGACCATAAGTATGCATGATAATTAATTTTCACTTCTGTCATCTTTTGATATATGAGAACCCTTAGCTCTCATGGAATACAACTGAAGTCTAAACAGATGACCATTCAGAAGGGTAACTGTCTAAAGTTGTGCACACTTACACTGTAAAATACTGTGCAGGCATATGTACTGAACTTGGGTCTCTGGAAAATAGAGGCATCTCCAAAATCCTTGGAAAGTGTCTGAATTCAAGAAAAGAGGAGAGAAGAAGAGAGACTAAAGGCTCAAGGCTGCTGGCACCCTGGCTTCTGGGCTTGATTATAGACTTTGTTGTGACAGAAGGGCTTGCAGTCTGGGAGCTCCTGGGGGTGGATGAAGATCCTACAGCATCTTATGGAGGCATGGCTGGAGGTAAAGCATGAGAAAGGTCCTTCCACCTGTCAGATTATGACAGTATGAAACCTCATACTTATATTTGATAAAACTATGTTTCATGGTTACTGAAGCTATTAGTAGTTCCATCCTTTGGGGTCTTGCAAAAGCTACCTTACAACTTCTTTAAAACAGGAGTCATTACACATATGTGAAGAAAACTGTCTTGTCTTCCCAGAGTCACATTTCTTAAATGTTTGTATTCCATTTTCCTATACTATTTCACAACCAAATTCCTTTGTTACTGACTCCCAGTTTGACTGTGTTTCTTTTCAAGGGAACTGAATAAAATATTCATGTTTTATCTTACCTCCTTTGTCCATGATTCTAAATGTATAATGTAACCTAAGATAAGAATAGCTTTTAGGCAATTATGGCCCACTGCCAATTCCTATAGTTTGGTATCAGTTGAGATTTCCAAGTCTTTTTTACAAATGTTCCTAATGGTAAATGAGACAGTGTGCATGTTTATTCATGTAATAGACCAAAAGAACAGGGCCTTATATTTATTCTTTCATTTGACAAATATTTATCTAGCAATCTCTGTACATTTGGAACTTTTCTAGGTGCTAGGGATACAAGAAAAATCAGAACAATCCAAAACCTCTTCTTTTGAAGCCTACCTTCCACCTGAGGGTCACTAAAAACAAATAAGGTAAACATATGTCTGTATTATGTTAGATAATTAGTGATGCTGTAAAAACAAGACATGAAAAAGAGATACTACTAAGATGGAGAGGCACAATTTCAAATGGGGAGTTAAAGAACAATCACACTGAAATGTATATCTTCATTGAGTTGAAGGTATGGATCATGAGGAAGTGTAAGGATGGAGTTGCCATCACCCAAGCTGTGGACATGGATCAGGTTTGGGGTCAGGGGCCAGGAATTTAATTTTGGACCTTTTAAGTGTTAGTTTAAGTGTTAGAGCCTCTGAGTGGGATGTCAACTAGGCAGTTAGATACGAAAGTATGGAGTCAGGAAAAAGTTGGACAGGTATATCACTATAAGAAAAGAGGCTAATGAAGTAGTCATCTATGACAGTGTGAGAAGGAGCCACTAGAGGAATGTAGCAGGACTACAGGCCTGATTGAAGTAAATGTCAGAAACAGAAGGTGAGAAACAAAGAGCTCAAGCAGGGGACATGTCTACACTAATACTGGTTTTATGACAGAGGTGTTTATGGACCAGTGAAAGGCCAGTACTACCCAGAAGGATGGCTGACATTTAAAAAATAAAAGCTGATAATGTGAAGTTATAGCAAAAATGTGGAGGACTGCACCTCTCAAACACAGCTGGTGAAAGTATAAATTGCTAAGACTTGTAGTATCCGCTAGAGTTAAATATATGCATAGCCTATGACCCATCTATTTCAACCGCAAGTATTCAACATATGTACATCAAAGATATATCAAAGGATGATCGTATCAGGATCATCAACAGCAGGCCCAATAATTATAAATTTGTTTTATAATTTATTCTCTAATATTGTATTTGTTTCTTGTTGCTTTTGCAACAACTGTAACATCAGTAAAACAGTTACATAATTGATGGTGATGGTATAATTATACAATGGAAAACTATACAGCAACAAACATGCCCAATCTACATGTACATACAGCATCATAGATGAATCTTAAAACATTGTACAAAATAAGGAAGACACAAAATTGTACATATATTATACATACATTAGAGTTATATCAATAGAATGCAAAAACAGATTAACCTAGCCAATATTTTTTACAAATGCATACTTAGATCATTTTTAAATGTTCAATGAAATGATTTAAAATAATTCTAAATAGTAATTATTTAAGACCAAGGAGGAAAATAATTATGTTTGGAAAGGGACACATGAGGGAACTGTTAACACTCAATTTTTTTTAACCTGTGTGATTGTTAAATGATGTTTGCTTTATAATTATTCTCTAACTGAACATTTACCTTTTACATGTTTTGTTGATGCATGCTGTATTTTTCAATTAACAAGCTGTTGTTATTATTAAAAAAAAAAAAAAAAAAGAAACATCAAGGATCTCTCCTCCCTGCTCAAAACTCACTGGATCCCCTTCCCCACTCCAGCCCCACAACCCAACATACACACAGACAGATCAGAAAAAGTTTCAAAGGCAAGTGACGGGGGCGGGTCAGGGGGTGGAAATAGTGAAATGGAGTTGAAAAAAATACGAAAACTAGCCCAATTTGGGGCTTTGATAGAAAATATGGAAGAAAGAAGGAAACTCAAAGGTCGAGGCAGCTGACTTATGGTAGACATTTGGGGAAAGATGAGTGGATATTCTGCTGTGTCAGTCTGTGTAATGTTCCATTAAAAAACTCTTTAGTAAATAATTAAATAACTTTCCAAGGGAAAAATATATTAAAGTGACAGCAGTCAACATGGCAGTGTTTTCTCCACTGCCATTCCACTGAAGGGAGAATCACTGGAGCAGTGACCTTGAGTCTGAGAGAAGGAGTGGGCTCTAGCACAGAATGCGGGGTGGGCCTCAGGTGCAGCACAGAGTTCTATTGTAATGTGGCAGGCGACACTGTACAAGAAGGCAGAAGCTGATAGTTGGGAAGATGTGTGAGAATGTGTGGCAGTTTACTGAAGTTCTCTTCTGATAGTTTCAATATTTGCACACATGTGTAAGAAAGCAGGAGCAATTAGCTGGGAGAAAAAATTTGGCTGAGAGAGTTGGAAGTTTGAGGAGTGGGTAAAATGCACATTTCTTACAAATTTCCACTTCATCCTGAGATGTAATTGCCCCAAATCAAAAGGCATTTTATCCTGTGATGTAATTCAGTGATTAACACCTGCAAATTACAATCTCAAACAGAAGTGCTTATGACAAAAATCAATGGAGAAGGACCATTGATGGAAAGAGTGGGAATATTTGATTAGAAGAGTTTTTAGGCTACTGATTGAGAGAGTTTTGGACTGAAAGTTTTTGTATGATGGTGGGGACTTTACACACCCCACCCTAATACAAACGACAAATGTTCTTAAATAGTATAGTCTTCTATTATAATTTAATTCATTAGGCCAGAGACACCAAATTCACTCTGCCATCTTGAAACTAATCAACCAACCAAACAATAACAAAAAAGAAATTGTGCAAGTGTAAGTTAATTTCACTGTATCATTGTTATTGGCTCATTACCTGAGCTCAAATTTTTCATTAAGTCTCTCCCAAACCCAACTATGAAAGATGGGGGTCAGGAAGAAAATGGATAGAACAAAAGCCTAACAGAACCTTACCACATCAGAAATATCAGGTTTCTCTCTTTTTTTAAATCTTCATTGAGACAGTCTCCTGAGGTTATCAGATTTCAGTTTCATGAGATTTTATAGACACATAGTAACCTGAACACAGTGCCAGCCTAACCTTAGAGACCATAAAAGAAAGTGCACTACACCAGTGAATGTCCATCTGGGTGGGGTGAGATTTATGGGAAAAAAGAACACTGTTACTTTCTACTCAAATAAACTCTTGTATTACTAGCTCTTCCTACACTAAGCACATCTGATTTTAAATTAAAAAGACACAAAAGTATTGTTTATTTGTTTTTTTTAAGACGCAGTTTTTTTTTCTCAGCCATCAGCAAACTCTAGTGATTACAGCTCTGGATCACACTGCCTGTATTTATACTCTGTGTCTGCTACTTTCACATGTGTGACCTTGGGCATGTTTTTTTAAACATCTGATGTCTTATTTATTTACCTACAAATGAAAATAATAGTGCTTTCCTACAAAGACTAACAAAGTTAACATGTGTTAAATACTTAGAAGGGTGCTTGGTATATAACAAGCATTTGATGAATATTAAGTGTATACTTTCTTTTGAATAGGGATAGTTTTTCATTTGTGGGGTTTTTTTTTTAAATTTTGAGCTCTTTTCTCCCAAATCTCAAAATATCTTGTTTACTGTATTATATGTGCTATACCATATTCTTATTTTCATTTTCCTGCTTGTGTATCAGTGCATTTTATACCAATTTTCCTTAACATTTAGGTTTTTAACATTTGTGCATTTTAAAGCCACTCATCATTTGAAATTCTTTCCTATATTGGGGAAATTCATACCTTATTAGTCCTAGTGAGAAATAGAGCAATCTCTCTGAAGCTTAATGCACCAGATGCACATTTTCCCAGCTTCCCTTATATAGTAGTTAAGGTGTGCCTCATGTGACCCAGCCTTGATCAATCAGATTTGCCCAATTGAGGCTATGAACAGGAGTTAAAGATTCAAAGACACAAGGTCCACAAAAAGTCTATTCTAGTGGCACGGGATAGCAACACCAGCAAAAACATTAGGTTTCCAGAGATGTCAGGGTCAGCTGAGCAGGGTGGTGCTTGGTTTCTGGTACCATGATGGACTACCAAGTGAGCCATGGTGGTGAGTGGCAGTGGCGGCGGCAGCAGTGTCTTCACAGGTTTCATCTGGAGAGTGCTGTTAGCCTGGTCTTGGCTGATACCTAGCTCCCTTGTTCTTATTTATTTTTCTAATTCTAATTCCTAATGTGATATTCCTAATATCCTGTCAGTAAATTCATTTTCTGTTATCTGAGTTGTTTTCTGATCCTTGCAACTAATAGACATTAACCAATAGAATTTATTTTTGTGTAGCATTGCATAGATTAGTGTTCACTCCCCCAGATGCCTTCTTCTCACAGCACCCTGGGAATGTCTGTATAGAAATAAATGCTTTTCTATTTATGACAAATGCATAGCGAATATCATACTGCATGAGCAAAAGCTGGAAGCATTCCCTTTGAAAACCTGCACAAGACAAGGATGCCCTAACTCACCACTCCTATTCAACATAGTATTGGAAGTTCTGCCCAGGGCAATCAGGCAAGAGAAAGAAATAAGGGTATTCAAATAGGAAGAGAGAAAGTCAAATAGTCTCTGTTTGCATATAACTCATCGTATATTTAGAAAACCTCATCGTCTCAGCCTGAAAGCTTTTTAAGCTGATAAGCAACATCAGCAAAGTCTCAAGATACAAAATCAATGTGCAAAAATCACAAGCATTCCCATATACCAATAATAGACAAACAGAGAGCCAGATTGTGAGTGAACACCCATTCACAATTTCTACAAAAAGAATAAAATACCTAGGAATACAACTTACAAGAGACATGAAGGACCTCTTCAAGGAGAACTACAAACCACTGCTCAAGGAAATTAGAGAGGACAAAAACAAATGGAAAAAAAAAATACCATGCTGCTGGATAGAAAGAATCAATACGGTGAAAATAGCCATACCGCCCCAAGTAATTTATAGATGCAATGTTATCACCATGAAGCTACCATTGACTTTCTTCATAGCATTAGAAAAAAACGACTTTAAATTTATATGGAACCAAAAAAGAGCCCATATAGCCAAGAGAATCCTAAGCAAAAGGAGCAAAGGTGGAGGCATCACACTACCTGACTTCAAACTATACCACAAGGCTACAGTAACCAAAACAGCATGGTACTGGTATCAAAACAGATATATAGACCAATGGAACAGAACAGAGGCCTCAGAAATAAAACCACACATCTACAACCATCTGATCTTCCACAAACCTGACAAAAACAAGCAATGGGGAAAGGATTCCCTATTTAATAAATGGTGTTGGGAAAACTGGCTAGCTATATGCAGAAAACAGAAACTGAACCCCTTCTTTACACTTTATACAAATATTAACTCAAGATGGATTAAGGATGTAAATGTAAGACCTAAAACCATAAAAACCCAAAAAGAAAACCTAGGAAAAACCATTCAGGACATAGGCATGGGCAAGGACTTCATGACTAAGACACCAAAAGCAATTGCAACAAAAGCCAAAATTGACAAATCGGATCTAATTAAACTAAAGAGCTTCTGCACAGCAAAAGAAACTATCATCAGAGTGAACAGGCAACCTACAGAATGGGAGAAAACTTTTTGCAATCTATCCATCTGACAAAGGTTTAATATCCAGAATCTATAAGGAACTTAAACAAATTTAAAAGAAAAAGAAAACTAACAACCCCATCAAAAAGTGGGCAAAGAACATGAACTTTTGAGACACTTTTCAAAAGAAGGCATTTATGCGGCCAACAAGCATGAAAAAAGCTCATCATCACTAGTTCATCTCTCTAGTTATTAGAGAAACGCAAATCAAAGCCACAATGAGATACCATCTCACACCAGTTAGAATGGCAATCATCAAAAAGTCAGGAAACAACAGATGCTGGAGAGGATGTGGAGAAATAGGAACGCTTTTACACTGTTTGTGGGAGTGTAAATTAGTTCAACCATTATTGAAGACAGTGTGGTGATTCCTCAAGGATCTACAACCAGAAATACCAGATGACCCAGTAATCCCATTACTGGGTGTATGCCCAAAGGATTGTAAGTCATTCTACTATGAAGACACATGCACATGTTTGTTTATTGCAGCACTATTCACAATAGCAAAGACTTGAAACTAAACCAAATGCCCATCAATGATAGACTGGATAAAGAAAATGTGGCACATATACACCATGGAATACTATTCAGCCATAAAAAAGAATGAGTTCATGTCCTTTGCAAGGACATGGATGAAGCTGGAAACCATCATTCTCAGCAAACTAACACAGGAACAGAAAACCAAACACCACATGTTCTCACTCATAAGTGGGAGTTGAACAATGAGAATACACAGACACTGCGAGGGGAACATCACACACACCTGGGCCTGTCAGGGGGCTGAGGGGCAAGGGGAGGGATAACATTAGGACAAATATCTAATGCATGCAGGGCTTAAGACCTAGATGATGGGTTGATGGGTGCAGCAAACCAGCATGGCACATGTATATCTATGTAACAAACCTGCATGTCCTGCATATGTATCCCAAAACTTAAAGTATATTTTAAAAAAAAGAAAAATGTTTTTATACTGGATTGATAGGAAGATGTTAAATTAATAGAAAATATACATAATATTGTATTAGTTTCTTATTTCTGCTGTAATAAATTACCACAAACTTAATGGCTTAAAACAACACACATTTATCCTCTTACAATTCTGGAAGTCAGAAATCCAAGATGAATTTTACAAGGCTGACATCAAGGTTTCTAAAGAGTCAGTTTCTTCTGGATGCTCCAGGGAAGAATCCATCTCTTGCTTCTCTTGCTTCTTCCCACTTCTAGATGCTGCCTGCATTCCTTATCTTATGACCGCACTATTGGGTCTCTTGCTTCTGTCCTCATATCTCCTACTACTAACTTTGATCTCTTGCATCCCTCATATAAGGACACTTGTGATTACGTTTAGGGCTCTCAGGATAATATAGAATAATCTCCCCATCTCAAGATTCTCAACTTAATCATATCTAAAAATATCTCTTTGCTACATTAGATAACATGTACAGATTTCAGGGATTAGGATGAGGATATCTGTAAGAGACCATTATTCACTCTACCACAAATACATAAACTAACCACTACTAAGTGCAGCTGAACATAAGTAATCTCATCTCTTCCAGAAATCTCTGACTTTCTTTATATTAGAAGTCTTCAGTAACCTCCAGTCCTTAGCCACTTACTAGGGGTTGAGAAAACTCAAGTTGTGTAAAGCTACTGACTGCCAAATTCAGAGAAACCGAGAAGATGTTCTTGAGAAGAGATGTCATAGAGAAAACAGTCACACACTATACCACTATAGAGTTGTATAGCCTGTCTTACTGCCTGCCTATCTCGGTCGTGACTCAAATCACAGTTTGACAACTGTGATTATCGGTATAGGATGACATAGTCTTAATCAGGTGTATTATCTTTGTTTTACATGTAAGAACACTTTTTCATCCCATTTCACACATTAAGAAAAAGAAGAAATACTTCTTGATGATCTCTTTGAGTGATGATGTCATTGCCTGTACATACTGGGATCCATTACAATCACAGAATATCCCTTCTTGTTAGTGAACTCCACGTTGCATGGCCAGAATAGCAGCTCACCTTCTCTATGGTCACTCTACTCTAGTTGGTGATCACCTGATTAATTTTGCTTTCCCTTGCACATCCCACTTAGTTTTTCAGAATTCTACACAGCTTTTCCTCATGAAGATCAAGTGTCATTCTGTGAATTTAGGGACTTTCACACATTCTTTGGTTTCAGTGAATCAGTGGACTGTCTGCTTTATTCTTGTGCCAAGTCTCATTTCTTTCTTTACTTTTGGTTCTATCAATTAATACCTTTGTTTCCTTCCCCCTTGTCAATAACACAACCTTCCATTTTCATTTTATGGTATTTCCTTTGCTTTATCTATAAATGTGAGCTGTCCCCAAATATTTGAAGGGTAGTCATGTGATAGAAAAATTCAAATTATAAAATAGCTCTATGGGAAGAATTTATAGAAACAGCTGTTAGAAATTATAACAAAAAATGGGATCTAATTAAACTAAAGAGCTTCTGCACAGCAAAAGAAACTACCATCAGAGTGAACAGCCAACCTACAAAATGGGAGAAAATTTTCGCAACCTACTCATCTGACAAAGGGCTAATATCCAGAATCTACAATCAGCTCAAACAAATTTACAAGAAAAAAACAAACAACCCCATCAAAAAGTGGGCAAAGGACATGAGCAGACACTTCTCAAAAGAAGACATTTATGCAGCCAAAAGACACATGAAAAAATGTTCACCATCACTGGCCATCAGAGAAATGCAAATCAAAACCACAATGAGATACCATCTCACACCAGTTAGAATGGCAATCATTAAAAAGTCAGGAAACAACAGGTGCTGGAGAGGATGTGGAGAAATAGGAACACTTTTACACTGTTGGTGGGACTGTAAACTAGTTCAACCATTGTGGAAGTCAGTGTGGCGATTCCTCAGGGATCTAGAACTAGAAATACCATTTGACCCAGCCATCCCATTACTGGGTATATACCCAAAGGACTATAAATCATGCTGCTATAAAGACACATGCACATGTATGTTTATTGTGGCATTATTCACAATAGCAAAGACTTGGAACCAACCCAAATGTCCAACAATGATAGACTGGATTAAGAAAATGTGGCACATATACACCATGGAATACTATGCAGCCATAAAAAATGATGAGTTCATGTCCTTTGTAGGGACATGGATGAAATTGGAAATCATCATTCTCAGTAAACTATCGCAAGAACAAAAAACCGAACACCACATATTCTCACTCATAGGTGGGAATTGAACAATGAGATCACATGGACACAGGAAGGGGAACATCACACTCTGGGGACTGTTGTGGGGTGGGGGGAGGGGGGAGGGATAGCATTGGGAGATATATCTAATGCTAGATGACAAGTTAGTGGGTGCAGCACACCAGCATGGCACATGTATGCATATGTAACTAGCCTGCACATTGTGCACATGTACCCTAAAACTTAAAGTATAATAATAATAAATAAATAAATAAAAAATAATAAATAATAAAAATAAATAAAAATAAAATAAAAATAAAAAGAAACTATAACAAAATGACTTAGGATTATGTTAACAAAGATTTTTCAAACAGTGCTCTTTAGAGGTAGAATGAGCTTGCTTAGGAGTGAGTAATACGTTAAAAGTATTCATGCAGAGACCAGGTAGTCATTCATCAGAAATAGTGTTCTAAGTAGAGGGAATTCTATCACTAAATAAATAGCTGGATCAGACAATTCCTCAAGACCTTTTCATCTCTGAATTCTGTTATTCCCAGTAGCTAGGGTCATATGGTACATGGATTAAAAGAGTATTTTTGCCTGCATTTGATACTTTTTTCATATTTATAATACCTTGTTAAGGTTGTTGGTTTATTCTTGTTGTGTGTGAAAGTAAATATAAGTGTGAAAATGAAAGTATACATTTGATATGAAAATCAAAAGACAAGAAGGCAGAAAGAGGTATCATAGTTTCCATTCAGTGTAAGGTTTTCTATTGGGATGCTATTAAATTTGCATGAATAAAAAGGATCATGAGTGTATGTTCAATGTGTGCTGTTTATGATTTTTAAATCAGCAATTATCTTGAGACAATACATCTACCACCAGGGACATAAATAACAATATATGCATGATGCTTGGGTATTAGCAAGATTGCCCAAAAGAAAATGTGAGGTACAGCAAATTGAAACCCTATCAGAGACAGCCAAATGCAAACAGGGAATTGGAAGGTGAAGGAGCCAAAAGAACAGATGGACAGAAGAGGCAATGAGGTTAGCAACAATTTCTGTGATGGCAAGTCTTCTGCCAGTGATGCCACCATTAATGCCACACAGAAAGGCATGCCATCAACCTTTATTAGGGATAATTCTTAAGGTTATAATATCTCATTATAATGGATCTAGTTCTACCATCCTCCATTTTACTTGGAATGCTATTCTACCAAATATGCCTGAATTTAACTTAAGAAAATTAAGATTAGGGAACTTTTGGAGCCATGTATAATAGAGAAGAGTTTCAGTAAATGAATTATTAATTTTCCCAGAATGCATATGTGTTCCAACTGGCTCTGTTATAAGGTTTAGGATTTGGTCTTCACAGGAGTTAGAGAGAGCTTAGAGTGCCCTGGGATCTAAACTCAATTTAAAAAGCCTACTTTAAGAACAGAATAAAATTAGGTCTCTGGAGAATGGGTGGTCTTCTGTGATCCCTCTGGAGAAATGCAGAGAGCTCTCTCTAACTGGCAAGGCATCTGCATAGTAACCCTCTGCTCTTTGAAAATCCCCTCTGGTAAAGTTAAAGGCCATCTATCATATTCAGCAAAGATTATATTCTTGGAATTATATATGTTTTTAAAATCTGTAGGTATTTTTCTAATTTTTCTGGTTTCCTTGATAACTTTTTACAGTTGAGATAGTCATTCAAATATCTATCTTATTAGTTAGTACTGACTTTCAATAATTTATAACTAAATACAGTACTATTGTCTGTCATTTGTATCAATAATCAGTTTGGTCCAAGAAAAGGACAAGTGTACATGTGCTCTGAATATGAGGCAGAGGACCTCAAGGGAATAGTGCATAATGCAGATAAACTCCCTTTAAAAACTCAAGTTAAGTAGAAGTAATTTAAAGGTCAATTTTTTAATGCATAGCAACACCTCTTAAAACAATCCCTCACTGCCTCTCTCGTTCTCTAATCCTCCAGAATTTCTCTTTCTCTAAACCCTTACTCCAACTCCCTGCCTGCTAACTTTCATGAAGCTCTACCACATCCAGTTAGCTTTGGATCTTTTTCTTTGTCCTCCTCTCAAATTCCTTTGTTTCTTCAGTCCTCTTTTCTAAATTCCAGTCCATATTCCTAATTCTGAATCACACTACCTCAAACACAAGACTGGAAAAGAGAAAATTCTTAGGTTTGGGGAAAAGTAAGCAGTTTAGTAAATATAAATTCTCTTTAGCAATGGGGGAACATCGTACGTGTTAATAAACTTTGTCTATTATTTTTATTCACTTGACAAATAGTCATTGAGCATCTACATGTTACAGGTACTATTCTGTTGTAATAGATCAGTGAACAAAACAAAGAATGGCCTTATGCAGTTTACATTTTAGCAGGAAAAGAATGACAATAAAATTCTATGGGGAAGAAAAGGAAAAGTGGAAGCAGTTAAGGGAAGCTGGGATTCTAAGTCAGTGTGGTAACCCAGCAGGGGTTGCAAATCTTGAATGGCTTAGTAGACATTTGTAAGTACCGGGCAGTGAAGGAGAGAGCATTGCTAGAGACTTTAGCAAACTTTCCTAAATTGGTCAAGTAGAAAAACGTTGAGGATGAATAATATGTACAACGAACCACCATGACACATGTTTACCTATGTAACAAACTGTACACGTACCCCTAAACCTAGAATAAAAGTTTTTTTTTTAATGTTGAAAACAGAGCTGAGTTATTATCTGAACATGGTGGTATAGAATTGCCAAACTCAAAAGAACTCTCCTTATAGCAGCCCTTTCCCCACTCTCAATAAGAACAGACACAACTTGCAGATTCTGTTTCTTCTGATACTAACTTATAATAGCTCACTAGCAGATCACTATATATGTTCCAGCTAATGACAGCTGATTGCCACTAATAAATAAAAAACACCTTTCAGTTTTATTTTTATATATACCATTAAATTGATTGGCTCTTCAATAAAAATGATCATTGACAATTAAAAAAAGGTTATAGTTCAACAGGAAAAAATAATAAAAACAATAATATGTGACCCAATTGATGTGTCTCACATTCAAAAATTAAGAGTCAATCTAACAACAAGTAAAATATAAAAAAATACATCAATACATCTTCCTACTATTAAAGTCAACATCAATTATTTAGTTTCAGCCTAAGATATTCAATGTATATATATTTTTTTTTGTTTATTTATTTATTTATTTATTTTTATTTATTTTTTTTTGGAGACAGGGTCTCTCTCCGTTGCCCAGGCTGAAGTGCAGTGGTGCAATCTTGGCTCACTGCAGCCTCAATCTCCTAGGCTCAAGCAAGCTTCTCACCTAGCCTTCCAAGTAGATGGGACTAAAGGTGTGCACCACCACACCCAGCCAGCTGATTTTTGTATGTTTTGTAGAGACAGAGTTTCATCATGTTGCACAGGCTGGTCTCAAACTCCTGGGCTCAAGCGATTCACCCTGCCTCGGCCTCCCAAAGTGCTGAGATTACAGGCATGAGCTACCGCACCTGGCCCATTATATAACATTAATGTTATTTGAGTTTTCTGGTATTTTTTGTATTTGCTTTAAAAATGTTTTGTGGTAAAAGCAAAAAGTGTAAGAAATATATCCCTGTAATAGGCCTATAAGTTTTTAAGTAATGTTGTGATAATTGCAAAGTAAACATGGTAAAGATCTACTTAAAAAAAATCTGTGTATTCCTTTTGTGTAAGGAATTTGGATTTGTTATTGGTATTAATTATTTACTTCAGATTGCTTTTGATCGGTAAGCGCAGAGAATCCGGAGAATAATATACAAGTAAGTTAAAGAACAGAATGTTTGTGAAGACATTGTGGGGCTCACCTCAGTGTGGTGCCCTGGAAAGAGATTCAGGACAGCTCATAGCCCTGAGCAGGGCCCAGGGGCCCAATTGAATAGGACGCAGGAGAAAGTACTAAGTAACTTGGAATTTCCCATACACCCATCTCTAATGTTTCCAGTTTCTTCTGATTCCTTCTCTTGTAACAACAAAAGACTCCTGATTACAAGAACTAGAAGAAAAATCACAGTATACTTCAAAACACATGTAACACTAAATATGTCTTCACAAAGTGAGAGTGAAAAAAAGAAATAAAGCATACTTGTTTACTTATTTTGTGTAGGGAAACACTCAATGGGTTTCTAAACAACTAATTTATACATCAATTGGGAAAGTGATATATTGGTGAGTTGGACACTACCTACAATGTTATATTTTTGTCCTTATATGTTTCAGCAATCTTATATCTAAAACACATATGTTTACATCGTGTTGTACATATGTTTATTATGTAATATGTTATAAACATATAATATGTACAACCCTACCAATTTCATTAGAAAGACAAAAATACTCAAAAATTGCTGTGAGTTAGTTTTCACATTAAAACACTGTGCTATAACCTTTTATCAAGGTTCCTAGCTTCCTTGCATTGGATTAGAACGTGCTCCTTTAGCTTGGAGGAGTTCATTATTGCCAACCTTCTGAAACCTACTTCTGACAATCAGTCAAATTCGTTCACCGTCCAGTTTTGTTCCCTTGCTGGCAAGGAGTTTGTGATCCTTTGGAGGAGAAAAGGCATTCTGGTTTTTGGAATTTTCAGCCTTTTTGCAATGGTTTTTCCTCATCTTCGTGGATTTTTCTACCTTTGGTCTTTGATGTTGGTGACCTTCGAATGGGGTTTTTGACTGGTCATCCTTTTTGTTGACGTTGATGCTATTGCTTCCTGTTTGTTAGTTTTCCTTCTAACAGTCAGGCCTCTCTTCTGCAGGTCTGCTGTAGTTTGCTGGAGGTACACTCCAGACCCTGTTTGCATAGGTATCACCAGTGGAGGCTGCAGAACAGCAAACATTGCTGCTTGGTCCTTCCTCTGGAAGCTTCGTCTGAGAGGGTCACCTGCCAGATGCCAGCCAGAGCTCTCTTGTATGAGGTGTCTATCAACCCTAACTAGAATAGCTGGATTAGAAAAGAACATAAATGACCTGATGGAGCTGAAAAACACAGCCTGAGAACTTCGTGAAGCATACACAAATATCAATAGCCAAACTGATCCAGTGGAAGAAAGGATATCAGAGATTGAAGATCAGCTGAATTAAATAAGGCATGAAGACAAGATTAGAGAAAAAAGAATGAAGAGGAATGAACAAAGCCTCCAAGAAATATGGAACTATGTGAAGAGACCAAACCTAAATTTGATTGGTATGCCCAAAAGTGATGGGGAGAATGGAACCAAGTTGGAAAACACATTTCAGGATATTATCCAGGAGAACTTTCCCAACCTAGCAAGACAGGCCAATATTCAAGTTCAGGAAATACAGAGAACACCACAAAGATACTACTTGAGAAGAGGAACCCCAAGACACATAATCATCAGATTCACCAAGGTTGAAATAAAGAAAAAAATGTTAAGGGCAGCCAGAGAAAAAGGTCAGGTTACCCACAAAGGGAAGCCCATCAGACTAACAGTGGATCTCTCTGCAGAAACCCTACAAGCCAGAAGACAGTTGGGGCCAACGTAAAACATTCTAAAAAAAAAAATAATTTTCAACCCAGAATTTCATATCCAGCCAAACTAAGCTTCATAAGTGAAGGAGAGATAAAATCCTTCACAGACAAGTAAATGCTGAGGGATTTTGTCACCACCAGGTCTGCCTTAAAAGAGCTCCTAAAGAAAGCACTAAATATGGAAAGGAAAAACCAGTACCAGCCACTGCAAAAACATACAAAAATGTAAAGACCATCAACACTATAAAGAAAGTGCATCAACTAATGGGCAAAATAACGAGCTAGCAACATAATGACAGGATAAAATTCACACATAACAATATTAACCTTAAATGTAAACAGGCTAAATACCCCAATTAAAAGACACAGACTGACAAATTGAATAAAGATTCGAGACCCATTGGTGTGCTGTATTCACATGCATTTCACATGCAAAGACATACATAGGCTCAAAGTAAAGGGATGGAGGAAGATTTACTAAGCAAATGGAAAGCAAAAAAAAATCAGGGGTTGCAATCCTAGTCTCTGATAAAACAGACTTTAAACCAACAAAGATATAAAAAGACAAAGAAGGGCATTACATAATGGGAATGGTATTAATGCAACAGGAAGAGTTAACTATCCTAAATATTTATGTACCAAATACAGGAGCACCCAGCTTCATAAAGCAACTTCTTAGAGACCTACAAAGAGACTTAAATTCCCACACAATAATGGTGAGAGACTTTAACACATCACTGTCAATATTAGACAGATCAACAAGACAGAAAATTAACAAGGATATTCAGGACTTGAATGCAGCTCAGGACCAAGTGAACCTAATAGACATCTATGGAACTCTTCACCACAAATCAACAGAATATACATTCTTCTCAACACCACATAGCACTTATTCTAAAACTGACCACATAATTGGAAGTAAAACACTCTGCAGCAAATGCAAAAGCATGGCAGTCATAACAAACAGTCTCTCAGACCACAGTGCAATCAAATTAGAACTCAGGATTCAGAGACTCACTCAAAATGGCACAACTACATGGAAACTGAACAACCTGCTCCTGAATGACTACTGGGTAAATAACAAAATTAAGGCAGGAATAAATATGTTGTTTGAAACCAATGAGAACAAAGACAAAATGGACCAGAATCTCTGGGATACAGCTAAAGCAGTGTTTAGAGGGAAATTTATAGCACTAAAAGCCCACAGTAGAAAGTGGGAAAGATCTAAAATCGACCCCCTAACCTCACGATTAAAAGAACTAGAGAAGCAAGAGCAAACAAGTTCAAAAGCTAGCAGAAGACAAGAAATAACTAAGAGAAGAGCAGAAATGAAGGAGATAGAGACATGAAAAACTCTTCAAAAAATCAATGAATCCAGAAGCTGGTTTTTTTTTAAAGATTAACAAAGTAGATAGACTGCTAACCAGACTAACAAAGAAAAAAAAAAGAAGAAGAATCAAATACACACAATAAAATGTGATAAAGAGGATATCACCACTAATCCCACAGAAATACAAACTACCATCAGAGAATACTATAAACACCTCTACACGAATAAACTAGAAAATCTAGAAGAAATGGATAAATTCCTGGACACATACACCCTCCCAAGACTAAACCAGGAAGAAGTTGAATCCCTGAATAGACCAATAACAAGTTCTGAAACAGAGGCATTAATTAATAGCCTACCAACCAAAAAAAGCTCAGGACCAGGTGAATTCACAGCCGAATTCTACCAGAGGTACAAAGAGGAGCTGGTACCATTCCTTCTGCAACTATTCCAAACAATAGAAAAAGAGGGACTCCTCCCTAACTCATTTTATGAGGCCAGCATCATCCTGATACCAAAACCTGGCAGAGACACAACAAAAAATAAAAAAGATAATTTCAGGCCAATATCCCTGATGAACAATGATACGAAAATCCTCAATAAAATACTGGCAAACCAAATCCAGCAGCACATTAAAAAGTTTATCTACTGCGATCAAGTCGGCTTCATCCCTGGGATGCAAGGCAGGTTCAACATATGCAAATTAACAAACATAATCCATTACATAAACAGAACCAATGCCGAAAACCACATGATCACCACAATAGATACAGAAAAGGCCTTCAATAAAATTAAACACCCCTTCATGCTAAAAACACTCAATAAACTAGGTATTGATGAAACATACCTCAAAATAATAAGAGCTATTTATGGCAAATCCTAGCCAATATCATACTGAATGGGCAAAAGCTAGAAGCATTCCCTTTGAAAACTGGCACAAGACAAGGATGCCCTCTCACACCACTGCTATTCAACATAGTATTGGAAGTTCTGGCCAGGTCAGGAAAGAGAAAGAAATAAATGGTATTCAAATAGGAAGAGAGGAAGTCAAATTATCTCTGTTTGCATATGACATGATTGTATATTTAGAAAACCCCATCATCTCAGCCCAAAAACTCCTTAAGCTGATAAGCAACTTCAGCAAAGTCTCAGGATACAAAATCAATGTGCAAAAATCACAAGCATTCCTATACACCAATAAGAGACAAACAGAGAGCCAAATCATGAGCGAACTCCTATTCACAATTGCTACAAAGAGAATAAAATACCTAGGAATACAACTTACAAGGGATGTGAAGGAACTCTTCAAGGAAAACTACAAAACACTACTCAAGAAAATAAGAGAAGACACAAACAAATGGAAAAACATTCCAGGCTCATGAATAGGAAGAATCAATATTGTGAAAATGGCCATACTGCCCCAAGTAATTTATAGATTCAATGTTATCACCATCAAACTACCATTGACTTTCTGCATAGAATTAGAAAAAACTACTTTAAATTTCATAGGGAACCAGAACAGAGCCTGTATAGCCAAGACAATACTGAGCAAAAAGAACAAAGCTGGAGGCATCATACTACCTGACTTCAAACTATACCACAAGGCCAAACAGTAACCAAAACACCTTGGTACTGGTATTAAAACAGATATATAGATCAATGGAACAGAACAGAGGCCTCAGAAATAACACTACACATCTACAACCATCTGATCTTTGACAACCCTGACAAAAACAAGCAATGGGGAAAGGATTCCCTATTTAATAAATGGTGTTGGGAAAACTGACTATCCATATGCAGAAAACAGAAACTGGACCCCTTCCTTATACCTTATACAAAATTAACTCAGGATGGATTAAAGATTTAAATGAAGACCTAAAACCATAAAACCCTAGAAGGAAACCCAGGCAAAACCATTTAGGACATAGGCATGGGGAAAGACTTCATGACAAAAGCACCAAAAGCAATGGCAAGGAAAGCCAACATTGACAAGTCGGGTCTAATTAAACTAAAAAGCTTCTGCACAGCAAAAGAAACTATAATCAGAGTGAACAGGCAACCTACAGAATGGGAGAAAATTTTTGCAATCTATCCATCTGACAAAGGTCTAATATCCAGAATCTACAAGGAACTCACACAAATTTACAAGAAAAAAACTAACAACCCCATCAAAAAGTGGGCGAAGGATATGAACAGACACTTTTCACAAGAAGACATTTATGCAGCCAACAAACATGAAAAAAAGCTCATCATCTCAGGGCATTAGAGAAATGCAAATCAAAATCCCAGTGAGATACCATCTCATGCCAGTTAGAATGGCGATCATTAAAAGTCAGGAAACAACACATGCTGGAGAGGATGTGGAGAAATAGGAACACTTTTACACTGTTGATGGGAGTGTAAATTAGTCAATCATTGTAGAAGACAGTGTGGTGATTCCTCAAGGATCTAGAACTAGAAATACCATGTGACCTACCAATCCCATTATGGGGTACATATACCCAAAGGATTATAAATCACTCTACTATAAAGGTACATGCACACGTACATTTATCACAGCACTATTCACAATAGCAAAGACTTGGAACCAACCAAAATCCCCATCAATGATAGACTAAAGAAAATGTGGCACATATACACCATGGAATGCTATGCAGCCATAAAAAAAGAATGAGTTCATGTCCTTTGCAGGGACATGGATGAAGCTGGAAACCATCATTCTCAGCAAACTAACACAGGAACAGAAAACCAAACACTGCATGTTCTCACTCATAAGTGGGAGTTGAACAATGAAAACATATGGGCACAGAGATGGGAACATCATACACTGGGGCCTGTCAGTGGTGGGGGGAAGGGGGAGGGATAGCATTAGGAGAAATACCTAATGTAGATGATGGATTGATGAGTGCAGCAAACCACCATGGCACATGTACATCTATGTAGCAAATCTGCATGTTCTGCACATATATCTCAGAACTTAAGTATAATTTTAAATAAATAAATAAAGCACAGTGCTGTCTATCTCACTAAGCCACATGTTCCAGGAGGGGTAGGCAGTATGTTATGCTGACAATGGGAAATGATTTAAAGTTACCATCCAGACAGATCATCCCTGGAAGAAAAAGAAAAAAAAAAAGGTACTTTTGCTCCACATTGTGAGAATTATCTAGACTATTGCTCCAATTCCATATTTTGCCTTAGGATTAAGGGTTTCTACTCAGAAGCCTCTCTGCTGCAACATTTCTACCTTTAGACCCAGAAACCATGGTAACTAACTGCCACAGCAAAGGCAACTTCCTGTGCCACTGTGTATTTTCTAGATCTTTACAGCTGAGACCTAAAACACTGCTGTATAATCAGCCAATCCCTCAGACTGTGCAGTCAGCTCGTTGCCCTTTATTGATATGACTGGCTTCATTAATTTTTGGATGAATGTGCATATAAGGCAACATTTTGCACAGAAGGGATTAACTATGTGCTGTTGCCTTTTGCTATCATTAGGTGACAAACTCTTGTAGCTCTATTTTATTGTTTTAATTAAATTCCCAGAAGGCAGAGAAAAGTGAGAAGATATCATGTCCTGAACATAAAAACAGATGCTCTTATCTTTTCTAAATATGATATTTATATTGTTGTCAGAGAGGAATATCCCAGAGATTATCTGTCACGTGGGCCATATATAAAATAAAGAATGGGTTTCAAGAGATAGTATGTGCATATATGTGTGTCAGTATGTGTCGGGGAGGGTGGTAGAGAGAAAGAATTTTGTTAGGTCAAATACCATTGAAATGTAGATAACAGTTTTATCATTTGGGGGTTCCTCAAATTGTAATGTGTCATTAAATAAACTCCATTAAATAAGCATGTAAATCTCCCATTTATAGCACCAAAAACATTGGAAGGTAGAGTGTAAAACAGTTTAAAGAAAATATTCTTGACTGAACTACCTCATTCTTCTGCCATATGCTGGCTTTGCAACCTCAGGAAGGCTGCCTACCATCAGTACTGTGACTTCTTTGCTTCATCAGTTCTAAAATGGGGGTAATAATAGTAGTTCCTATTTCTTTGGACTGTCATGAGGATCAAATGAGTTAACATACATAATTCATAAATGTGTCTAGAATTTAGTGTTTGATAAACCTATGCTATTATCATAATAATCATTTATTTTACCATTATTAAATTATTTCTCTGATATAAAATTGAATTTCAACAGTAAAACAAATAATTGAAGACTAATAAACAGATAAATGAATAAGTGCCAAAGAAAAGAAAACGGATACACAATAGCTTCAAATCATTTAAAAAATTGCCTTTTTAAATAGAAAGGCTCTAAAAGATAATTCAATGCTTATGCTACATTGTACAACTTTGGACACCCAGAAGCAAAGAAGGACAGTAGCTAACTCAGGGTCCTGGAACTCTTCTAGGTTAGGAGAGGCAGGTTGGGAGAGGTCACTGACTCAAGTTTCCTAATCTCTAGTTCATTTCTACTCCACGACACTAATCCC
Organism: Homo sapiens; assembly: GCF_000001405.40. Taxonomy (NCBI): domain Eukaryota; kingdom Metazoa; phylum Chordata; class Mammalia; order Primates; family Hominidae; genus Homo; species Homo sapiens. The sequence continues at coordinate 122,877,799 of NC_000006.12, read as the reverse complement.
CTTTATAATCCTTATTCCATAGGTTAGCTAAGTTAAACTTAGCTTTCCAGAGATGTCATTTAACTTGCCATATTAATAAATATGGTACATAGGTCTTCCTGTTACTGGATCCGTTCATGTGTGTATATGGAAATCTTAAGTTAAGTGCACAAGTGTATATGTTGTGTATATTTTCTGTTCTTTAATAGGTGAGACAAAATAAATGTCTTAACTTGTTGAAGCTGCATTATATTTTTCAAAGTTATCAGTAAGTACAACTGTTTGGCTAAGAGAATCAGCTTTGAAATTCAACAGACTGACAGTCAAGGTTTAAATCATGACTCTGCATTTTAATAGTTGTGCCTGTTTCATCATTTGTAAAATAAGGATTAATAATATCACCCTCAGAGCTTTACTGTAAAGGTAAAATGAGATAAGATAGATATTGCCCTTAAAGTGCCTTACAAATAGTAAAAATTAGCCATAATTTCTTTGTCGCAGAGGAATTATGGCTTACGATCTTTTACTATACTGTTTCTTAGTATAACTTTGCCAATATCTCTACACACAGAGATTTTCATTTCTCGTTACTAGTTTTTACACTTAGTTAGATCCAAAACACGAATATTTGGTGAAATCTAAGAAATCTAAGGGGTATAGGAAATACTAGACTTTCTGGAGATCTCTGTTGACTCCTGAACTTCTCCATACCCACAACGTCTAGGGGGTCTACCTTGGTTGCATAGATGAAGCATCCGGAGATCTTTTCATTGGCCCTCACGCCAATTAAGTATGAATTTCTGAGATGGCACCCAAGCATGAGTAGATTATAAAGCTCTTTGGGTGTTTCCAATATGTATCTAAGGATAAGAACTATTTTAATAATTACATGATATTTGATATGTAAACATCATACCTGATCGAACCAATCTGTGAGCTCTATGTAAATCAGAGACCGCCTCCTTATACCTGACTATAAAATCCAGCACATCCACTGCTGTCTCGCCTTTTCCTCTTGGAAGTCCCCTCCCTCTCACTAGAGAGAGAGCTATTTTTCTTTCTCTTTCTTTTGCTTATTAACCTCCGCTCCTAAACTCCTCATGTGTGTGTCTATGTCCTAAATTTTCTTGGCGCAAGGCAATGAACCCTGAGTATCCCAGAAAATGTAGCAGCTTCACCACCACCACCATCCCCCATCTGTCCTCTGATGAGAAGCTGATATTTCTAAAGCATAAACCTGACCAAGGTACTCCATAGCTTAAGCTCTTTACTTCCAGTTTCTGGAAAGCAAGGCAAATTTTCACTCTATATGCCCGTTTTTGTACTGTTTCTGCCCCAGAATGTTCTTCCTACTCTTGCTCATGAAAAAATTTTTGGTGAAGAGAAAATAGTTCCTCACTTTAACACTTGTGGGGAATGAAGGTTGATTACTTTCTATATTTCAGGGATTAAGTTGATTGGCTGTTTGATTGGTTTATTTTATTAAACAAATTTGCTCTTTAGCCAGTGTATCACGAAAGCCTTTCGATAATACTTCAACACTACTCTCAGGCCTGGCGCAGTGGCTCACGCCTGTAATCCCAGCACTTTGGGAGGCCGAGGCGGGCAGATCAGGAGGTCAGGAGTTCCAGACTAGCCTGACCAACATGGCGAAACCCCGTCTCTACTAAAAATACAAAACAACAACAAAAAAAAAAAAAAAAAAAAAAAACACTACTCTCAGAATTGAGGATGGTATAGGAAATAAGAATCTTCCAAACCATGTATGAATCTTGAATAGAATGTGGTAGGCAGAATTTTAAGGTGGCCCCAAGATTCCTGGTGCCTTGTGTACATATACCTTCTCTGAGTTATTCAATCCAACACTAATCTAGGAACTGCTGTACCTAGAGTTTTGAAAAGAGAGTCAAGATTCCAGATCAGTCAACCTTAACATAAGGAGATTATCTGATGGACATGACCTAGTCACATGAGCTCTTTAAAAACAAATCTCTAGCAAATGGCAGAGGAGGAAGTCAAAGATTCAGAGCATAACAAAGATTTGATCGACACACATCCCTGGCTTGAAGATGGAGGGGATAGCTTAGCAAGGAATGCAAGTGATCAGTAGGAGTTCAGAGGAGCTCCCAGCTCCCAGCCAGCCAGGATCTCAGTTTTAGAGCCAAAAGGAATGAATTTTTGCCAATGGTAAGAATGAGCTTGGAAGAGGATTTTTCCTCAGAGCCTTTTGAAAAGAACCTCATGTGGCCAACATCTGGGTTTCAGCCTCATGAAACCCTGAGCAGAGAACCCAGCCATGCCATGCCAGACTTCTGACCTACAAAACTGTGAGCTAATGTGGGTATTCTTTTATGCCGCTAAGTTTGTGGTAATTCATTACACAGGGTAATTCAATACAAGGGGCTTTGCAATACATTGAAAACAGCTGTTCTCTATTATCCTTTCCTTAACCTTCTCTTTCCTTTATCGACCTGGCTAAAAGAGCCCTTGTTTTTATTATTTTAATTGAAAGTAAATAATTATTTTAAATATGCCAGGAGTGACTCCTTAAAAAGCAGTAGCACTCCCGTGTGCATGCACATATGTCCTTGTTCTCTACCATGCCAGCTCTCACCGTGTCCAACTCCAAACCCAGACAGAGTACAAGTGGTGTGCAGAGTGACTCGGAGAACCATAAAGAAACTTACCCAAGGTAGCCGGGCGCAGTGGCTCAAGCCTGTAATCCCAGCACTTTGGGAGGCTGAGGCAGGCAGATCACCTGAGGTCAGGAGTTAGAGACCAACCTGACCAACATGGTGAAACCCCATCTCTATCAAAAATACAAAAATTGGCCCGGCATGGTGGCGGGCGCCTGTAATCCCAGCTACTCTGGAGGCTGAGGCAGGAGAATTGCTTGAACCCGGGAGGCGGAGATTGCAGTGAGCTGAGATCGCGCCACTGCACTCCAGCCTGGGTGATAGAGCAAGACTCCATCTCCAGAAAAAAGAAAAAAAGAAAGAAACTTACCCAAGATAACAGTAAATGATAAAACTTGGACTTAAATACCATGCTGAATTTAACTCTAGCTCTGTTCCCAATTGTGTTGATCTTGTGTAGATTTCTTTCTCTGGATCAATAACAGTCATTCTCAACTTGACTGTACCTTAGAATCACCTTGGAGCTTCACAAAAATTCCTGATGGCCAGACAACACTCCAAACTAATTTAATCAGAATAGCAAGCACTGTTCCCAGACATCAGTATTTTGTAAAGGTCCCAGGAGATTCTAATGCACAACCAAGTTTCAGAATTACTGGTCTATAAAAGAAGACTTAGACTGCCAGTTCTAACAGTCTATGAGTTTATGTTTACTAAACACAAATATTAATATTATTAGACAGGGTCTCCCTATGTTGCTTAGGGCTATAGAGCAGTGGCTATTAACAGGTACAATCATAGTTTACTGCAGCTTCAAACTCTTAGCCTCAAGCAATCCTCTCACCTAAGCTGCCTGAATAGCTGGGACTATAAACACAACTATAAATTCACAAGCAATATTTTAATGATGATGAGAAGGAAGGGGTAAATTACTATTTAAGTCTACCATTTCCTGCAGCTGTTTCTGTCCCTAAGTGAGTTGGAATAATTTCAATCCAGAGGACATGCCCATTTCATTCTTTTAGCAACTTTGGATATAAAAGCTCATCTTTTATGTATATGATTTTGAGGCAGGGGAATACAAAATAAAAGGGGAAAGAGCGTGGTGGGGGAACAGGGAAGAAGAAGAAGGAGAAAGAGGAGGAGGAGGAGGAGGAGAAGGAGAAGGAGGAGGAGGAGGAGGAGGATTGAGGGAGAGAGGGAAAAGGAAAGGGAGGGGGAGGAAGAAGGGGAGGAGAGGAAGGGGGGGAGGGGAAGGAGGAGGAAGAAGAGAAAAAAACTACATACAGATAGGTGATAGATAGATTGATTAGGTATCTAGATACTGGAAATGAGAAATACTAGCCAGTGACATATCCCTGATAGTGAACTAAAGGACTTTTAAGTCCTGAGATGTAATAACAGTTGTCCAATTGTCAAACCTTCAGTAAATGTGACTATGACATAAAAAAAAAACCTCATGGGAAAAGGAGTGTTTTAGGGACAAGAGAAATGGTGGTTTTTCTTAGCTTGGGAAGTACAAGGCAGAGAGCACAAAACAGTTCTGTGTAGTGAGACTCAATTGATGTTAATAACTCCTAGGGGAAAAAAAATTGGATCAGTTACCATGAGAAAACAAGTACTTTGGAATTCCTGGGACTCTTAGGAGGGCACTGGCGTTTTTACTGAACATAGGTTGGGGGATCTAGAATTTATGTCACTCCTCCCAGTGCTTCGGTTTCCTAATCTGTAAAATGGATTCAATCAATGGGACCCACTTCGTAAGTTTATTTAAAGATGAAATGATTTCAAAGTTATAAATCACTAAAAATAATGTTCAGCATGTAGTGTTAAGTAAATGTTTATTAAATAAAAATAAATAAAATAAATATCAAAACATTAAAATAACATAGTGTTGGAAGAGAACTAGGCAAATAAATCAACAAAATAAATTCATATCTAAAAACAGACTCGGGGATATGTAATCATTCGGCATATGATGAAGCTCACATTTCACCTCAGTGAGAAAAGAATGGCATATTTAATGAGTGGTGTCAACTGCTCCCCTCCGATTTTTCTTCCCATTTCTTGGTGAACTAAAGCTGTGAAAAAAGACACTGAATTCAGATTGACCTCACTCCCTCTCAAGCGCTGATATAACTGAATAATGTCTAGATATAATTTATCAAAAAAATAGATTTATTTCTTAGAGTTCTAGAGGCTGGAAGTCCAAAGTCAGGGGTCCCCCATCTGCTAAGGCTTTCTTGTTATGTCATACCATGGCAGAAAGGAATGAGAGGATGAGAGAGAGAGCAAGAGGGAGCTGAACTCACTTATATAAAAAGCCCAGTCTTGCAATAACTAACCCACTCCTGAGATAATGACATTAATCCTTTCATGAGGGTGGAACCCTCATGGCATAATCAGTTCTTAATGGTCCTGCTTTATAATACTGCTATAATAGCAATTACATTTCAACATAAATTTTAGAGGGAACATTTAAATCATAGAATTCCATCCCTGGCACCTCACAACTTACGTCCTTTTCATATACAAAATACATTCATTTTATGCCAATAGCCCCAAAAGTCTTACTCATTTCAGCACCAACTCAAAAGTCCAAAGTCCAGCGTCTCATCTGAATCAAATGTGAGTGATACTCAAGGCATGATTCATCTTTAAACAAATTTCTCTCCAGCTGTAAGCCTGTGAAATTAACAAGTTACGTGCTTCCAAAATAGCCAAGACATAGGATAACCATTCTCATTCCAAAAGGGAGAAGTAGGCAAGAAAAAAGGGTAGCTGTAACAAGTAAGTCCAAAATCCAACAAGGAAAACATTAAGTCGTAAATCTGAAGAATAATCTTATTTGATTCCATGTCCCCTATTCTGGGCACCCTGGGCTGGGGTTGGGCCCCCAAGGCCCCAGGCAGCCCCACCATGAGGTTGTGCTAGGCTCAGTCTACCCAGCAGCTATCATGGATTAGAGTCTCATGCCTGTGGCTTTCCCCAGCTAGAGTTGGCATGCTGGTAGCTCTACAGTCCTGGGGTCTTGACAGCTGCCATAGCTCCCAGTAAGTGTTGCCCAAGTGGGGACTCTGCAGTGACCCCAATCCCACAGTTCTGCTGGGCATTGCCTTGGTGGTGGCTGTCTGTGGTGGCTCCACCCCTGAGACATTTCTGCCTGTGCCCAGGCTGTCTATGACATCCTTTGAAATCTAAGTGGAAAAAGTTACAGCTCTTGTATTCCACCTGTCTGCAGAATTAGTACCACATAGACATTGCCAAGGTTTATGTCTTGTAACTTCCAGAGTGGTTGATTGAGCTGTACTGGGCCCACTTGAGCCAAAAAATAATGGGGCAGCTAAGGTGTGCTGCACCAGAATTTAGGGACCAAAGTTTGGGATAACCCTGGGCAGCAAATCCTGAGCTCCCTTGGGTGCCTCTCTGGAAACTTTGCCCTCAAGGTCACAGCTTGCCTAGAGGATCTCTGAAATGCCTTCTGGGTCATTCTCCCATTGTCTTGAAAACTAGCCCCTGGCTCTCCTCTATCAGTACCAATTTAGCAAATAGTTGCTTGGCTAGACCCTTGGTTTGCTCTTCTAAAGCAAAGGTAAAAATCCTTTTCACTGTTTACATGGCTGTGATAGTTAATACTGAGCGTCAACTTGGTTGGATTGAAGGATTTGGCCTTCCTGGGTGTGTCTGTGACGGTGTTGCCAAAAAAGATTTACATTTGAGTCAGTGGAATGGGAAAGGCAGGCCCACCCTCAATCCAGGTGGATACAATCTATTCAGCTGCCAACCCAGCCAGAATAAAAGCAGGCAGAAGAATGTTAAAAGACTAAACTGGCTTAGCCTCGCAGCCTACATCTTTCTCCCATGCTGGATGCTTCTGCCCTCTAATGTCAGACTCCAAATTTTTCAGCTTTGGGACTGGACTGACTTCCTTGCTCCTTAGCTTGCAGACAGCCTATTGTGGGACCTCCCATTGTGATCATGTGAGTCAATACTCCTTGATAAACTCCCCTTTACATATACCTCTGTCCTATTAGTTCTGTCCCTCCACAGTACCCTGACTAATACAATGGCTAAGCTCCAAATTTTTCAAATTTTTCTGCTCTGCTTCCCTTTTATTATAAATTCTGTCTCTAATATCTCTCCTCTCACATCGTACTGTATGCAGTTAAAAGTAGCCATGCAGCTCCTTCAATGTTTTGCTTAGAAATTTCTTCTGCCACACATTCTAATTCAGTACTCTTAAATTTGTCTTCCATAGAGTCCTAGGACATGGACACAATTCTGCTAAGTTCCTTACAACTGTGTCACAAAAATAACTTTTATGTCATTTTACAATATTTTGTTCCTCATTTCCATTGAGACCTCATCAGAATGGCCTTTACCATTCATGTTTCTACCAACATTCTAATCATGACCAATTAAGTAATATCTAAGAAGTTCCAGGCTTCTTTACATCTATTCTCAACTCTCACCAGAATCACTCTTACTGCTCTTTTTATAGCAATCTAGGCTTTTTCTAGCCTGCTCCTCAAAATTCTTCTAGCATCTATCCATTACTTACTTTCAAAGTCACTTCAACATTTTTAATAGCAATGGCCCCACTTCATGGTACCAATTTTGTGTCTTAGTCCATTTTCTGGTGGTATAGAATGGTACATGAAACTGGGCAATTTACAAAGAACAGATATTTATTTCTTACAGTTCTGGTGGCTGAGAAGCCTAAGTTGAGGTGCCTGCATCTGATGAGGGCCTTCCTGCTGTGTCATCCCATGGCAGAAGGCAGAAGAGCAAGAGAACATGAGAGAGACAGCAAGAGGGGTGCAACCTCACTTTTATAACAAGTCTACTCTCAATAATAATGTGCTCCTGTGATTATGACATTAATAAATTTATGAGGAGCACAGAAACCTTTGACCTAATCAGCTATTAACAGTTGCCTCACAAGTCTACTGTCACAATAACTAACCCATTCCCACAATAATAATGTGCTCCTGTGATTATTACATTAATCAATTTATGAGGAGGACAGAGACTTGTGATCTAACAAGTCTGTTAGATCAGACAGAGACAGAGACCTGTTAACAGTTGCCTCTCTTAATTCTATCACAATGACAATTAAATTTAACAAGCTTTGGAGGGAACATTCAAACCATAGCATCTACTATCCCTATCTTCTTTCATACACATGATAAAGGCATAACTATTTCCAAGAACTATGAAAAACATCTTACCTAGTATGCACCAGGCTCATATTGTAAAGAATAAAATTATTAAATAAAATTTCTATAGCTTGTTTTAGTGGCAAAGCATGTGAATATTTGCAGGACAACTTTTTAATCTAGATACAAAGATTAAATGCTTAAGTGGTATTTTTAAATAGTATTCCAGAAATACTTTGTGATGTTTGACTGCTACCTTTTATCTTTTTCTGTTACAATACCCTCCCACCCTCACCTAGGTAATTCTGCATTGAAGGTCATGATAAACTTGATATTATGCTCAGCTCCTATGAGGTTGCACAATTTCCCAGTGTGTTCTCTTCCCCTGGCCTCTTAGTGCACCCTGCTGGACTTCCTCAGGAACACCACCTGCTCTTAGACTGCTACATGAGAACAAGCTTCATTTATATGCTCTAAATGACACACACACACATAAACAGATGCATCATAGTCTCTAATGCTAAGATCCCACAGATATTTTTCTTCTCTTTCTTGGTCCACAGACTGACCCAGCTAATATTTAGATGTTAGCAATTTCTGCAAATGATTGTGCTTTCTTAGTGCTATGAACTGCATGTTTGTGTTCCCCCAAAATCTGTATGTTGAAATGTGATCCCCCATATGATGGTATTTGGAGGTAAGGCCTCTGGGAGGTGATTAGGTCATGAGAGTAAAGCCCTTATGAGTGTGTTTAGTGTCCTTAAAAGAAAAGAGCTCTCAGTCATATAAGGATGTAGAGAGAAGGCAGCTGTCTACAAGCTAAGGAGTGGGCTGTCACCAGACACTAGATCTGCTAGCTCCTTAATCTTGGACTTCCCAGCCTGTGGAACTGTTAAGAAATAAAAGTTTGCTGTTTAAGCCACCTAGTCCATGGCATTTTTGTTATAGCAGCCCCAACTGACTAAGATCCCAGTTAACTTCAAGTTTCTGAAAGCTAAAGTCATTTCTATTTGTTATGTAGAGCACAAACAGATGCTTCTAGATTCAGTCTGTCAGATAGCCTAGTGGCACTGTGATAGCAACAAGAATTCTAACCCTGCCAGTAAACTTCCCGGTCACCAGTGATGGTGAAGATACTACTCTTCCTCTTCTCTAATACAAAGAGCATAAGGCTCCCCTGCTTGCCTTGCTACCTGAAATCCCAAAGTAATCTCTTTTAAACGGGTAGTCCTCTTCATACCCTCATTTGTCTTAGTCCATTTTGTGCTGCTATAAAAAAATTCCTAAGATCAGTTAATTTATCATGATCAGAAATGTATTGGTTCACACTTCTGGAGGCTGGAAAATTTGAGATCAAAGTGCCAACATCTGGTGAGGGCCTTCTTGCTGTATTATCAAAATGGTGGAAGGTGGAAGGGCAAGAGTACAAAAGAGGGAATCCACTCCCACATGCCCTTTTTATAACAGCATTAATCTATTCATGAGCGCAGAACCCTTGTGACCTAAACAACTTCCATTAAGCCCCACCTCCCAATACTGTTGCATTGGGAATTAAGTTTCCAACATATGAATTCTAGGGCACACATTCAAACCATAACATCATCCATTCTTCAGTTGCTGTAAAATCTGCTCTTCTGGTAGCTCACTAAAGGGTACCATTGTCTTGCCCTCCTCTAACCATTTCCCTTACTCAGCTAATAATGACCTCAATTTAGTTTAATAGCTGCCTAGAGAATCTGGTATAATTTAGTTTCCCTGCATGCTTTGCTTATGTTAATGCTGCAAGTTGGCTAATTTCCTAATGATCCTTACAATCACATAATATTAAAATTTGTTATAGATACAATAAAGAGTTGTAAGACCAGAGTTTACTAAACATAGATAGTGTTCCTTGCCCTGTGCTAAATTCTGTTGATACAATTAAACATATATCTGTACTTCATCCCAGATACTGCAGAGAACTCAAGCAAGTATGTAGCAATAAGTTCTCAAGAATGTATAACTCTAAAGGGGAAAAAAAACCCTAATATTTAGTGAGCACCTAACATGCATTATTCTCACAATAAATCTACAAAATAATTATTATTTCACTCATTACAAATGAAAAGAAAACTGAACGCCAGAAAGATTTAAGAATTTGCCCAATATTCCAGGGTGAGAAAAGACAGAATTGTGATTAAAAGTATTTAACACTATGATAATCCCATATTGTACTGAGGAATGAGTGAAGTATTCAGTTCACCATAATATAGAGAAAAAAAGACAAGTGATATGTAGGGACAAAATGATTTGTATATTTAATGGATGAAGAAATCACATCTGGTAAAGGGAACTAGAAAGGCCTCAGAGAAGGAATTGTATTTAAGAAAGGGCTGGAAGAAAGGTCAAGACTTCAAAGGCCAATCTGGGGGAAAATGAAACAGTCCTGCAAAAATACTCCTAGAACTTAAAAGTGAGTTTAACATAATCACAAGAAACTAAGTGAAGACACAAATATCCATGGTATTTCTATATTTTAGCAACATATATTTGTAAGCTGATTTTAAAAGCGCTACCATGTATAATAGGTTCCTCAAAAGTGAAATGAGTATACATCTAACAGAACATTTTCTAGATCTGTATGCTGAAAACTACAGAATGCTAATGAAAGACATTAAAGAAAATCTAACTAAATGGAGAGACATACAATGATAAAGGTCTGAAGACTCAACATAGTAGAGATGTCAATTATCCCCAAATTGATCTATAGATTTAATACAATGTCAATAAAAATTCCAGCATGATTTTTTGTAGCTATAGAAGAGTTAATTCTAAAATTTATATGGAAAGACAAAGTAACTAGAATAGCTAAAATAATTTTGAAAAAAGGAATAAATTTGGAGAAATCACTCTCCTATATTTTAAGACTTTAGAGTAATCAAGAGAGCATGATATTAGCAGATGTGTAGACAAAGATCAGCGGAACAGAATAGAGAACCCAGAAATTGACCTAAATAGATTTGGCCCATAGATTTTTGACAAAAGTGCAAAAGCAATTCAATGGAGGGAGCATATCTTTTCAACAAATAGTGCAAATAGTGATGGAACGATTGACATCAATATGCAGAAGGAAAAAACAAATAAAATGTTGACCTAAAATCTGAAGGGAACATTTTAGAGAAAATTGTATGGCCATGTTATTTAATTTTTTAAATCTCGAGTCATCACCCTCTAAATTACGTATTATGATATGAGAATATCCAGAACTACAATTTGCTAAGATATTTGAATGGTTTGTCTATGTTGTAACTTTAAGCAATATTAATTGGTCACCATTAAACCCAAAATTTGAAAGAAAACAACAGATAATTAAAAAACAAAAATTTTCATTAGTGAAGGGAAATACCTTCTAATTTAACACATTGTGTTCTTAACTTGAAAAACTCATTTCCCCACAGAAGTTTTAAAAGTATCAGTGCAAACTTGGTGTTCTAATTGTAATTCCATATTATATTTACTTTATATTGTTCTTCAAAACTGAAATGTGTTTACAATTTGGGTCTACAAATATTTTTATTATTTTGCTCTAAAAATTGGACAAAGAAAATGGGAAGATTAATTTAATGTGTAAGTTGGTAAAGTATTGGGAATCTTTCAAGAATTTATTATCTCCCAGGCATGGTGGCTCACATCTGTAATCCCAGCATTTTGAGAGGCTAAGCCAGGTGGATCACTTGAAGCCGGGAGTTTGAGACCAGCCTGGCCAACATAGCAAAACCCCAACTCTACAAAAAAAGCAAACAAACAAAAAAAAAATTATCAACTAACAAAAATGTGACCATTTTGCTGTAAAAATAGAGGATAAATTATAAAATATCTTTAAGATGAGCTGTGGTGAAATACTGCTCATATATAACTATATGAGCAGTTATAATAAAAACATTATAACAGCTTTATTGAGATATAATTGCCATATAATAAGTGCCACATACCTGTATACAATTTGATAGGTATTGACATATTTATATACCTAAGAACTGATCACCACCATTAAGATAGTGAACCCGGCCATCAACCCCAAAAATTTCCTTGTTCCCCTTGTTGATTCTCACTTCTGCCCTATCTAGCCCCAGGCAACCACTAATCTATGTTCTGTTACTATGGATTTGTTTGTTGTTTCTAGAATTTAACGGGATGGAATCATACTGCATATATTCATTTGTATCTGGTTCTTTCACTCAGTACAATTATTCTGAGATTCATCTATTCTGCTGCTTGTATCAATAGTTTATTCTTTTTATTACTGAGTGGTATTCAGTTGAATGGATATACTGCAATGCTAGTTACCTGCTGGCGGACGTTTGAGTCATTTCTACTTTTCAGTTCTAATCACTGATAAAAGTGCAATAAAAAATAAAATGTTGACCTAAACCTCACATCTTACCTTCAAAATGTAAAATATACAACTATAAAACTTTTTAGAAGAAAACATACGAGAAAATCTTCATAAACTGTAGTCAGACAACGAATTCTTAGACATGACACCAAAAACATGATCCATGAAAGAAAAAACTTGATAAATTGGAATTCATTAAAATAAAAAATGTTACCAGGCGCGGTGACTCATGCCTGTAATCCCAGCAGTTTGGGAGGCTGAGGCAGTTGGATCACTTGAAGCCAGGAATTCAAGACCAGCCTGGCCAACACGGCAAAACCCCATCTCTACTAAAAATACAAAAATTAGCTAGGCATGATAGCACTCACCTGTAACTCCAGCTACTTGGGAGGCTGAGGCACAAGAAATGCTTGAACCTGGGAGATGGAGGATGCAGTGAGCCGAGATGGCACCACTGCACTCCAGCCTGGGGGACAGAGCAAGATTCATCTCTAAATAAATAAATAAAATGTCTATTTTGTCAAAAGCCTTATGCTTAGTAAAGAAAGCCATACTCAAAAGGTGACATTCTATTTAGTCTATCTATGTATTTATCTGATTCCATTTATGTGATATTCTCAAATTGTATTAAATATTTTTAAGGAATAAAACTATAGTTACAGAAAATACAGTGAGAACACATGGACACAGGGAGGGGAACAACACACACTGGGGTCTGTGGAGGGGGCGGCAGGGGAGAGAGAGCATCAGGATAAATAGCTAATGCATGCTGGGCTTAATACGTAGGTGACTGGTTGATAGGTGCAGCAAACCACCATGGCACACGTTTACCTGTGTAAGAAGCCTGCACATCCTGCACATGTATCCTGTAACTTAAAATAAAATAAATTATTTAAAATATTTAATTTTTTTTAAACTATAGTTACAGAAAATAAATTAGCTTGCCAGAGGTTATGGATAAAGTGAGGGTGTGATGTTATAGGGATACCATGAAGGCATTTGAGGGGTGATGAAACTTCTTTATATTCGGATTGTGGTGTGATTATATGCATCTGTCTATATATATGTTAAAATTCGTAGAACTGTACACCAAAGAAGCCTATTTTTAAAGTAAAGTTACAGGCTGGGCAGTGGCTCATGCTGGTAATCCCAGCACTTTGGGAGGCAGAGGTGGGTACATCACTTGAGTTCAAGAGTTCCAGACCAACCAGGGCAACATAGTGAGACTTAGTTTCTACAAAAAATAAACAAGAAATTAGCAAGGTACAGTGGTGCATGCCTGTAGTCCCAGCTACTTTGGAGGCTGAGGTGGGAGGATCGCCTGAGCCCAGGGAGGTTGAGGCTGCAATGAGCCGTGATCACACACTGCACTCTAGCCTGGGTGACAGAGCAAGAGTCTGTCTCTAAATAAATAAATAAATAGATAAATAGATAAGAAAAGAAGAGAGAGGCTGGGGGCAGTGCCTCACATCTGTAATCCCAGCACTTTGGGAGGCCGAGGCAAGTCAATCACCTGAGGTCAGGAGTTCAAGACCAGCCTGGCCAACACAGTGAAACCCCATCTCTACTAAAAATACAAAAAAATTAGCCGGGCATGGAGGCGCATGTCTATAGTCCCAGCTACTCAGGAGGCTGAGGCAGGAGAATCGCTTGAACCCGGAAGGCAGAGGTTGCAGTGAGCTGCGATCAAGCCACTGCCTTCCGGTCTGAATGACAGAGCAAGACTCTGTCTCAAAAAAAAAAAGAAAAGGAGAGAGAGAACCATGAATTAGCCCATTGTAGATGAAAGGCATTAGAATAGATACAAGCAACTAGTAGGAGATACAATGGGATGAAGTATTGGCATCAGGTTCAATACTCTCATAAGTAGAATAGACACTGTTGTGACGGTAATGTGCCAGAGCTGCCTGGTTTCCTTCTCTGCAGTCAAGGTTTCTTCCTCCCTTCCTCACTTTGCCCTGGAAGCAGATATTCAGACAACCCAAATTCCTTCCTCTCTTTATGAACTGCACATTCAAAAAGATCTGGCACCTGACCTGCTCCTGTTAGGAGAAAGATGAGAAACATTACTGGTAGAGATCTTAATGGGAAGATCACGGCCTGAGTGGAGGAACACAAGGTATGTTTGGCCAGTGCGAGTATTTCAGCAAGACTGGCAAATGCATGAGAGCAGTGGGGAATTAAAACTTCCCAGCATTTTAGGAGGCCAAGGCGGGCAGATCACGAGGTCAGGAGATCGAGACCATCCTGGCTAACACGGTGAAACCCCGTCTCTACTAAAAATACAAAAAATTAGCCGGGCATGGTGGCGGGCGCCTGTAGTCCCAGCTACTCGGCAGGCTGAGGCAGGAGAATGGCGTGAACCCGGGAGGTGGAGCTTGCAGTGAGCCGAGATTGTGCTGCTGCACTCCAGCCTGGGCAACAGAGTGAGACTCCGTCTCAAAGAAAAAAAAAATGTTGGGATTAAACTAAAGAAGGCAGTGAATGAGGATTGGAGAGTGTGTATCCAGTTTGGTAAGTACTGGGGAGCTATGAAATGTTCTTAGATGTGCTTCAGGAATATTAGGCTATGATTTATAGGATGGAATCGAATGGAGAGGTAGGAGAGAGAGATCGAGAAAGAGAATGCGAACAATAACCAACACTGGTAGCCATCAGAGTTCATGGCTGTGGCCATGCTGATGGAAAAGGGAAATGCAGACAAGTAGCAATTTGTGAATAAAAGTTAAGGAAAAGAGAGAGGAGCTTGAGCAATCAAAGATGTCACTTGCAATATGCAAGAAATAATGTTTTAGGGGAATTTCTGACAAATGTTAGGGAAAACCACTCTTTTTTAACAAGTCCCAAAGTAATGCATCTATGCATCAGGAACAAGAGTTTCAGGACCCCCACAAACAGATAGTACTATGAAGAATTTTGTAACAATATTCCTTTATTTTCCACTCAAGATAACATTAAGTAATAACTAGAATTACGCACACTGTTCCTCAGCCCTCTGCTGGTGTAGCCTCTCTCCTGGACCTCTTTTAAAGGTAGAGCATCAGGGAAACAGCCATCCCTAACCCACAACTATCCATAATCAAGTTATTTCCTCTGCTTCTCCTCCCTGCTAGATCGCCTCATTTACACCCAACGTGACTGACACTGATGACACCCAGTTGTACTTTTCCATTCTCGTTTGAAGCACACCTGAGTGGCAGACATCTTCTATTTTCTAATAAAGACAAATTAGCAAACAAGATGCAGAGCAAGTTGGAAGGGCTGAAGAATGCCTCATCCTTTCTTTCCCACCACCCCGCCCCCCAATATTGAAGCTTATGGAATAACCCCAGCTTTGCTGTACATGTTTCCTTAAAAACAGTTTCTCAAGCCCATTCATTCTCAAATGAAGGAAGAATTTAGCAAATTTTTCCAAGGCTTTTCTCTCAGCCTGCTTCATAGGACTGTCCTAAGGCACAAAGCATAGCAGGTGCTTGACATTTCTGTATCAATCATAATCATAGTTGTTTTTACAGGCTTTTTATTTTTTTGCTGCATCTCCATGTCTTATCTCAGTAAAGCAACATTATGCTAATTTTACAGATGGAAAAGCTGGTATTGAGATTGGTTTTAAGCTTAGTCATAAAAGGAGTAAATGGCAGAGTCTGGACTCAAACATTCAGATTCCTCATCTTTTCTTCCCCTAATATAACCAGGGCTCTCTTGTTCTTTTTATTTGTAGAGACTTCTGATCTGTTTATTTGAAATGAGGTTAAGGACCAAGACTTTTAACCTAGCATCAAAGAATTAGCTCAGCTTCGCTATCACACTATTCTCTCCTTAGCCCAGCAGGTGGGCTATTAATTGTGTCCTTCATTTAAATGAGGATATTCTGGGCTGTGCTTTGCATTTGCAAAGTGCATGGATAAACTGTAAATGAGAAGTACCCTTCACAAAGAGTTAGCCAGTGCAATCTCTGCACAATCCAGCAACATTCTGGAAGATTTATTGATCCCTTGGGCTTCATTTTCTAATTCTCTTTAGCTTCTAGGAATTTTAAAAATATAATCTATAGGTTATATTTTTTTCTTTTTCTGAGCCACTCTCTGCCATATTATTAATAAATAAATTATTTCCTGAGGAGAGACTATAAGAAATTTTCTGAAGATGATTATTTTCACTCAAGAATTTTTAGGATAGGAATTATGGAAGAGACAGGAGGACCTATCCTGAACTCTAATTATGATATTTAAAATGTTCCGTCTTGCCATATAAATATATTATGCTAACATAATGTTTTTATATGTATATTTTGGCTACTAGATGTATATATCGAAAATTGTGAAAATGTTTCTCTTAGCGTTGTGAGCATAATGATCTGAATGCATGCATAAGTGCCTTTAATGCAAACAGATACACTCATCTGTAGAAATCTAATCTAGAGGAGTAGATGTAATTTACTATCAGATGCTTTTATTAACTTGATGGCTTGAAGTATTTCATTGTCTATCCAGCAGGCCAGGGCATCTGGAGTAGCCAATTGCACATGTTCAAAATCTGTTAATGCCAGTCATACATGAGTCCTGACAAAGCACCTGCAAGAGCCAAATCCAGTGGTGCATCTTCACCACTACACCCATTTATGTTACCCATGTCTGAAGGAAACCCCTTGCAAAGGGATTTGCCAAAATATGGTCATAGACCACCGGTTTTGGGGAGTGGTTCTGTGGTGCTCAGTCAGAATGGAAAGCATGTCCCCCACCCAAATACTAAATGACTTCTTTCCTCCCAAAGCTTTCCTATCTCCAGTCCAAACAACATAATATCGAGGTTGAACATCCCTAATCTGAAAATTCAAAATCCAAAATGTTCCAAAATCTAAAACTTGTTGAGGACTGACATGATATAACAAGTGAAAAATTCCACTTCCACACTTGACTTCACATGATAGGTTGCAGTCAAAATGCAGTCAAAACTTTGTTTCATGGACAAAATTATTTAAAATATTCTACAAAATTACCTTCAAGCTATGTGTATAAGGTGTATATGAAACATAACTGAATTTCATGTTTAGACTTTGGGTCTCATTCCTAAAATATCTCACTACATACATGTAAATATTCTGAAATCCAAAATAACCCAAAATCTCAAACACTTTTGGTCCCATGCATTTTGGATAATGTATTACATTATATATATGTGTGTGTGTATATATATATAATGTGTTTTATATATATTTTATGTATAATATATATGTATAAAATATACATATATGTATATATAATGTTACATATATTTATACATGTCATATTATATATAATATATAGTATATACATATATATTATATGTGTGTGTAGTGTTGTCATTCCACAATAAAGCATATAGGTCTGGAAAGGATAACAAGTGTTATCTATTGGCAGTTCTGTGTGAAAGAGTTTATCAGCTCCTGTTCAGCTGATGGCAGCTCACTGCAGAAGTTACTTACAGGTGGACTATCTCTATACAAAATGCTTGGGACCAGTTTTTCAGATTTCGGATTTTCTCTAAACACAAAATTTCCTTATGTTTTAATTACATGAAACAAAGTTTTGACTGCCTTTTGACTGTGAGCCATCACATGAGGTCAAGTGTAGAATTTTCCACTTGTGGCATTCAGGGCGACAGACTTTCCATCCCAGAACCATTGGCCCAATTTTTCCGTAACCTTGTGGAAAAGACCCTGGTGCTGGTGAACGCTGCTGTGACTTACTCAAAGCCTTGATTGGCCACATTTTGGTACTACGCCAAGTTTGAGCTGGTTCCTCCCACCCCTGCTGAGATCCCTAGAGCTATTCAGAGTCTGAAAAAAATAGTCAATAGTGCTCAGACTGGTAGCTTCAAACAACTCACAGTTAAGGAAGCTGTGCTGAATGGTTTGGTGGCCACTGAGGTGTTATGTGGTTTTATGTCGGAGAGATCATAGGCAAGCGTGGCATCATTGGCTATGATGTTTGAAGACCAGTATTTAACATCTGATTATATTTGATTTATTATTTGAATGTTGTTGGACCATGTGTGATCAGACTGCTATCTGAATTAAATAAGATTTGTCAAAATTAAAAAAAAAAATTTCCACTTGTGGCATCATGTCAGTAACCAAAAAGTTCTGGATTTTGGAGAATTTGGGATTTTGAATTTTTGGAGTAGGGATGTTCAAATGGATATATGCATATCCATTGTTATGGAATGAAAATATAACACACACTTGTATATGTATGTATATATATAACATTTTGTCCCTAAAGTGTTATTTCAATTTGTAGAAGTAAACTGGAAGAATAGATACCATCAGCATCTTTCCAGGGTCATTCCGAGAACCTTCCAATTATAATAAATTATGTAAAATAAAACAAAAAATAAAACCTCTTGCCATGTTGTCATGGAGGCCTCCCCTAAATGTGTATGCCACAAAAGAAGCAGTGTCAGCAGCAAGGGGGAGGATCCCAGAGAAAATAGAAGAAGGGGATGCCTAAGCACCATACATCATGTTGCTTGTACAATACAAAAAGAAAAACAATTAAGCAGATTTTCCAAAGTAGAAAATAATTGGTCTTTATATAGAGTCGACAATTTATATAGAGTTGACAACTTCAGAAAAAGATAGGGCTGATTTTCCAAGTCACCCTAATAGATTGTACCTTTTCTTATTTAATAGACATTTTTACTGAAGCTTAACATATATCAAGGACCCAAATCCTAAGTCAATGTATTTACACAAAATGACCACACTTGTGAAATGAGCACTGAGACGGAGAAACAGAATGCACTGTTCCAGCACCTCAAAAGACCCCTCATGCTCTTTTCCAGTAAGTAATGACCCTTCCAGAGGTAACTGGTATAACCATCCTTCCTTCTAATACCACAGAATAGTTTTACTAATGTATTCCTAAGTAGAAACAACTCTGCCATTTTGTAATAGTCATATTATTACCATCTGGTATTAAATCAAAGACACAGTAATTAGAGACACTTGGTTTCCTTAGGGTATTCTTCAGGGCATGTGCTTTTCTGAAAGCCCATCATCTTGAATTATCAAGAACTGAAAGTGCCAGTTTTAAAAAGATGACTTTTTTTATCACAAAGTCCTAAACCAGAAGAGTAATGATGTTGAAAGAAGCCACTGTCAGGTGAGCAAGAGCATTACTACTGCAGCATAAAATACAGCCTGGCTCCAGCCATAAATTCATACTGAACTTCTTTTATGAGCAACACTTTATTATTTTATTATTATCAAGAAGAAATACAACTTTGCCTTTAACCACATTCAAATCTTCTGGGGGGAATATATTAAATATATAAATGTGTGAGAAATGAACTTCAGCACTGTAATACATTATGAATATATTTGAGGCATAAAATCTATGATAAATGGATAGAACCAGTACTAGTACATTTCATATTTAAAGAGTGGCTGCTAATACATCATTCTGGCTGAGCAATTTATAGATTGGGTAGCTATTTTCCTGGCTCTTCATCCCAACAATTCATCAATTTTTATGTTTTTTAAAAGTTGGATGATAAGTTTATCAGACTTTGATTTTCCTACTGCCAATTTTTTTTTCAGGGCAGAAATGGGGAGAAACAAACTGACTTATAAACCTTCACTATTCCTTGGTAGTTTTTTTCCTCAACCATAGACTCTGATAAATACAGTATGAGAAGAAGGGGAAGAGAAATGTTATTGCATGAATTTATTAAGCTATTGGGTAGATATAGTACTTTACTCATAGTTGCTCAACTAATAAGGCACATATAGTCCTACTTTCTATGAACTTACAGTTCAAAATTAAATTATATCAACCTTATATTACATCATAAACACAGAGACAGTCACCTTTATATTTTCTGTAGGAAGGGAAGAAAGCAACCATATGAAAACTCCTGAATATTACAAAAGCTTTTATTATTGAATGTACTCTCACCTACATTCACATACGGCCCTGTCTGGTGTTCTGGTGATTAAGCCACAGCACTTCTAACAAAGTAATGAAACAACCTTGTAGAAGCCTAGCTCGTGAAAATGGAGAAAGTAGTCAACACCTCTATTTGATTCTATCTCAACTTCTTCCTAATCCTATTTCAGACTGATACTGTGTTTGTTGGAGAAATTTGTGAATTTCACAAATTTCTCCAACTTGTGAAAAACAGTTTCCCTCTCTTTAAAAGCTTTCACTCAAATAAGGAAAACAAAAATTGTGTCTTCAAATTATTTATTTGATTTGGTACAGGAACAAGGTAAATAGATAAGAATAAACAGAAAAAGATGATCATAAGCATAACCAATGAGAATAGTTGCTAATTCTTAAAAAGATCTAGATGTCAACATTCTAATATATTGTACCTCAGAAAAATAAGGAGAAAGGAAGGCTTTTTTTTTAATGTAAGCAAATAGCTTATCTTAAAGACTTGTGCAGAGAGGACTCACACATAGAGGGAACCAGTAGGATGAAAATGGAGCTCCATAAGAGCGACAGTCCATGCTGAGGTAGCAGCAGAGCCTGATTGAGCTTGTATAGGCAGTTTTTTCCTTGATCTAGGCAAGGGTGAGTTCTGAGGGTACAAAGACACTGTTGAAAGCAGTAGTTTTCTGATATAGTTTGGATTTGTGTCCCCACCAAAACCTTATGTTAAACCATAATCCCCAGTGCTGGGGGTGGGGCCTGGTGGGAGGTGACTGGATCATGAGAGTGGATTTCTTGAGTGCTTTAGCACCATTCCCTTGGTACTGTCCTCATGAGAGTGAGTGAGTTCTCACAAGATCTGGTTGTTTAAAAGTGTGTGGCACCACCCCCACCACCTTGCTCCTGCTGTGGCCATGTGAAGTGCCTGCTCCCCGCTCACCTTCCACCATGATTGTAAGTTTCCTGAAGCATCCCCAGAGGTCAAGCAGATGCTAGCATTATGTTTCCTGTACAGCCTGAGAACCATGAGCCAATTAAACCTCTTTTCATTATAAATTACCCAGTTTCAGGTATTTCTTTAGAGAGATGCAAGAGTGGACTAATACATTCTCAAAGTGTTGCCCCCAGACCAGCAACATCAGCATCACCTGGGAACTTGTTAGAAATGTAAATTCCCAGGCTGCGTTCAAGACCTACTGAATCAGAAACACTGGAGGGGAGGCCTGGTGACCTGTGTTTCAAACCCCTCTCCCCACCCCAGGGATTCTGATGAATGCTGAACTTTGAGAACCGCTGGTCTCAAGGAGAGGTCAGTAGACTTTTTCTCTAAAAGGCCAGAGAAGAAAAGTTTTAGATGTTGCACTTCATACATTCTCTGTCACAACCAAACTCTGCTGGGTAGTGCAAAAGAAGTCATAGATAATATGTTAACAAATGGGCATGGTGATGTTCCAATAAAATTTTGTTTACAAAAACAGGTCAGAGACTAGATTTGGCCCATGGGCCATTGCTGATCCCTGATACAGAAAACAAATGGGTGGGAGGAAGAAGAGGCAGCAGGTTTGCTCCTCCTCTGAAAAAAAGTAGACTTCAGACTGAAATATCAACACCATAACCATCGTTTATCCAAGTTTTGTGTGTATCATTTTTCTAAAAGAAATGTTCTCTGTGATTCTGTTTGGCCTCAAGGAACAAGGGGGTAAAAAGGAGCTTGACAGCTCTTCCTTCACTAAAAAAAAAAACAAGCAAACAAAACAATAACAACAACAAAAACCCATAAGACTAAGCACAAGGAAGCCAAGGAAGTTCGAGACCACAAACTTCGCTGAATGTCCTGCTGGAACATTCAACAAGCCTCAGGTGGAAAGTATTACCTTACATCCAAACAGAAGCTCTCAAATTCCAACATAGATCAGAATTACCTGGACAGGTTCTTAGATCACTGGGCCCCACCCCCAGAGTAGACGAGGGTGCAGTCTGAGAATTGCATGTCCAACAAGTCCCCAGGTGATGCCGATGATGCTAGTCCAGGAACCACACTTTGACAACCACTGCTCCAAAACATGCTCTTCTCTTCCTTCTGTGTTCCCAATCTTAGTTGGCAAAACCACCGCTACCTATTTAGGCACCTAAGCAAATACTTGGGTCATCCTTGACTCCTCACTATCTCTCACCCCCATATTAATCAATCACCAAGTCTAATCAAGTTTGCCTTATCAGCATCTTGGAAATATAATTCCTCTTTACTGTCCTCATTGCCCATGAATTAGTTTAGGCAAGGGTTTTCACACTTTCCACATAAAAGTGAAATTATTTTCACATTAGAAAATAATTATATTCTATAAGTACAGGCCATAGGGGTAAAAGATCTTTTTTCTTTCTTTCTTTTTATTTTTTTTTTTTCCGAGACAGAGTCTCACTGTGTTGCCCAGGCTGGAGTGCAGTGGCATGATCTCGGCTCACTGCAACCTCCGCCTCCTGGGTTCAAGCTATTTTCCTGCATCAGCCTCCTGAGTAGCTGGGATTACAGGCACCTGCCACCGCACCTGGCTATTTTTTGTATTTTAGTAGAGATGGGGTTTTGCCATGTTGGTCAGGCTGCTCTCAAATTCCTGACCTCAGGTGATCCACCTGCCTCAGCCCCCCGAAGTGCTGGGGTTACAGGTGTGAGCCACTGTGCCTGGACAAAAATCTGATTGTATAAGTTACTGGAAACAAGACTCAGAATCCTTCAACCATCCTGAGGGGTGAGGGGGTCCATGTTCCTGTACAGCTATTCTCCATTCATTCAGTAGGGAAGCCTTGACTTAGGCCCTCATCATCACCTGTCTAGGCATTCTACCAATTCTAGATCAAACACTTCACTCTTTCCACTAGCCAAAGTTATTTACTTTTAATTACTGTATAAGATAACCAAATAGTCTAAGACCAACCATGTTATTTCTCCTTGTGCACTTCAAAATGAACTTCAAATTCATTTAGCTTTGCATACACTCTGTATCAGTCACTAATTCCAACAGGATACAGATGTCATACTTAAAATACGATAATTCAAGGAAGGTTTATTTACAAAGGTGAGAGTTTAGGGCAGTGCTTCTCAAGTAACAGTAGTTTTACTCTTGGGACATCTGTTGATGTCTGGAGACATTATCAAGACTAAGGGGGGTTGAGCGTACCCCTGGCATCTAGTGAGTGAATGCCAGGAATATTGCTAAACATCCTACAATGTGCAGGACAGCACAGCACAGCATAGAATTAGACAACAAAATGTCAAGGCAAAATGTCAAGAGTGGCAAGGTTGAGAAACCTTGCTACAGAGTAAGGTCTTGTTAAATGCTTGTCAAACTGAATTAAATGAGAAGTGCAAACAAACTTCCCAGGTGCAACTAACTCTGCTTGAGTCAACTGAAGAGAAATCATGATGGGTAACTGGTGTGGAAAGATGGAAACTGCACCTCACGTTGGGCCCTTGTATTAGTCAGGGATCTCCAGAAAGACAGAACCAATAGGATGCATATAAATTCTATATTAGAGGAGATATGTTATGGGAATTGACTCAGCAATTATGAAGGTCCAGAAGTCCCACAGTCTGACATCTGCAACTGGAGACCCCGGCATGATGGTTAATATTAGGTGTCACTTGATTGGATTGAGGAATGCCTAGATGGCTGGTAAAGTATTATTCCTGGGTGTGTCTGTGAGGGTGTTGTCAGAGGAGACTGACATTTGAGTCAGTGGTCTGGGAAAGGAAGACCTGCTTTCAGTATGGGTGGGCACCATCCAATTGGCTGCCAGCACTGCTAGAACAAAGCAGGTGGAAGAAGGTGGGATAGGTTTGCCTACCAAGTCTCCTGGCTCTCTGTTCTTCCTGTGCCAGATGCGTGCTTTCACTTCCCCTGTCCTTTGAGATCAGGCTCCGGGTTCTTTGGTCTTTGAACTCTAAGACTTGCACCCGCAGCTTCCTGGGGACTTTTGGGCCACAGACTTTTGGGCCACAGACTGAAGGCTGCATTGTCAGCTTCCTTAGTTTTGAGGCTTTCAGACTTAGACTGAGCCTCTACCGGCTTCTCTCTTTCCCCAGCCTGCAGACAGCCTAATATGGGACTTCACCACGTAAATGTGTGAGCCAAATCTCTGTAATAAACTTCCTTTTATATATACATATATCCTATTGATTCTGTCCGTTGGGAGAAGGCTGACTAATAACACCAGGAAACTGAGTGGCAAAACTCCCAGTCTGAAAACCAGGGAAGCAGAGATGAGGGTGGTGGTGTAAGTCCCAGAGTCCAAGAACTCTGCCATCCAAGAGCAGGCAAAGATGGGTGTGCCAATTCAATGGGAAAGAGAGAGAGAATTTGCCCTTCCTCCACTTTTTTATTGTCTTGGCATTCAATGGATTGAATGATGCCTGCCCACATTAGTAGAGAGGATCTTCTTTACTCAATTCACTGATTCAAATACTAATGTCTTCCAGAAACACCCCCACAAACACCCCTATAAAAACGTAAAAACAATGTTTTACCAGCTATCTGGGCATTCCTTAACCCAGTCAGGTTGACACATAAAATTAAGTATCATGACCCTGTTATCTGGATTAAATTCACACTTTTGAAGGTATTGATCAGCCACAATTAGTATCTTTTATGTGGCTGAGGTCTTTCAAGACTTGCCTGAGGTGTTTTGTGATCCCAGAGTGTCAACATTTGGCTACAAGGAAAGGTCTCAGCAATAAGCCTAGGTATTTGATATGGTTTGGATTTGTGTCCTCACCCAAATCTCATGTCGAATTATAACCCCAGTGTTGGAGAAGGAAACTGGTGGGAGGTAACTGTATCATGGGGGCAGATTACCCCCTTGCTTTTCTCATGATAGTGAGTGAGTTCTCAAGAGATCTGGTTGTTTAAAACTGTGTAGCACCTCCCGTTTCGCTCTCTTCCTCCTTCTCTGGCCATGTAAAACGTTCCTCCTTTCTCTTCATCTTCTGCCATGATTGTACATTTCCTGGGTCCCCCTGCCTCAGTCATGCTTCCTGTACAGCCTGTGGAAGTGTGAGTCAATTAAACCTCTTTTCTTTATAAATTACCCCGTCTCAGGTATTTCTTTATAGCAGTGTAAGAATGGACTAATACAATATCCATTCAAGGTTGAAAATAGAAAAGTCACTTAATGCATTCACAAATTGTTTATTGAAAGCCTACTATATTCCAAATATCATTCAAATAAACTTGAAAATACAATTCAATATAATCTAAAGAAGGTTTAGCTCTGATGTTCCAAGTAGAGCTTTTCTTAACTTCTAGTTTAAAAAATACGATTTTTTTTTTCTTCTAGATTTCCCCTTATATAGGAAAGACAGCTGGGCTCCAGTGATAAGCCCTATGACATGAAAAAGAGAGAGAAGAGATTTCCTTTGCCTGTTGCCAACACCCTCCAATATATTGAATGAAGCCACTGTTAAGAGAAAAACTTGGGGCTGTAACGTTCCCCCCTTTCAAACTAGGAAGGTGCCAAGAGACCAAAGAATGGTTCAGACAAGTCCAGATTGATGAGTAGGTGATTTATTTTGACTTACATACAGGGCATTCCTGGATGGCGGCATGCTATTAAGCTAATTTTTTGGCTCTTTGCTGACTGTGTTTGAACAATGAGACTGTTTTTCTTGGTATGTTCTCAGATATTCTCCAGGATGTTTGGTTTCTCAGGGACACCTGGGTTGGGCACTATGGCCTTGGCTCACCACCCAGCCTTCAGGGTTCAGGTGGCAGACATATGCCCTTAGGTATCCTGGTGAGGGACCTGTCACACTACAACCACCTATGAGTTGCATAAGGAGAGGTTCTATTTTCCAACCACATTGTGCTAGAAAAAAATCCAACATGAATTTGTGTTATTAACTAATTTGGGGCTGGGAATATATGCTTATGAGTTATTCTACAGAAATAACTAGTAATATCTTTCTCAATAAAAGCAAAATAGTTGATAGTCTATATTGTGTTGTTTGTATATCACTTGCCCCAAATATATCCATTTATTGTTCTATGTCAAAACAGGCAGCATAACACATGGTACAGTTATCCCTATTCTCCTTCCCGCTTCCACAACAGAAATAAGTAATCAGCCATGGCACTCTTTGCCTGGACATGGCCTCAGATTTCTTCTGTACATAGCACTTCAGGGAGCCACTATTAATGGAAAAGAATTGGCAATTCAGGTAAAATTTATTTGTGTTTGGTTGGCAAGAATATTGACTTGGGTAGGCCCTATTAACGGATAAACATGTACCTGGAAAGAGTGACTCAATGACACTATTACCTTATTTTATTTAGCCTATCTCCTTAGTGACACCTGATAAGATAGAATGTGTAACAGTTTAGTTCTGATAAGAGGGATGGGGCCATTGGAAAGAAATTTTCCAAGGCAATATGTGATTAAATGTATATAACAAATGTGTATCTCTAATCTGGAACTCTTTCCGGATCTCCAAACACATATATCTAAATGCCTACATGACAACACTACTTGCATGTTCAACAGACATATCCCCAAATTAAAATGCCCTAAGAGTTTCTGCTTTCTACCAGTTTGGAATAACAGAAATTGGATTTAACCACCACCAGCAGCATCCTAGGCTTTTACATCTACCGAATCAGACAACATATATGAAACAATAATTTTCAGCCATTGGACATTGGTAGTGTGCACAGTGATTCCCCAAGAGAAGAAAAAAAATGAGCAAGATGAGCTCTATCCTTACTATCAGCTTACTGTTTGGACAGTTTCCAGGCTGTAGAGGAGACAGAAGAAACCCAGAGCCAAGGTATCTCACAGAGTAGAGAAGAAGAGATCTGAGTTGAGAAAGGCCAAAACAGCTAGAATCTGTGAGGCAGAGAGGAGGGAGCTACACAGAGAGGATTCAAGAACTGCAGAGGAGCACCTCAGTCATTGTCTGAGTACTGATGTGAGCATACGCGACAGAAAACTATCTGAGACTGGAGAAAACCCCTTTAAAAAACAGCAGACAGAAAAATTCTAAACACTCACACAGGGTGGAAAATACTCAATGTTTCCACCAACCAAAGGAGAAAGACCTTGAAATACATAGAGCATTGGGTAAAATCCTCAGAAGAGTGTCCGCTTAGTATTGGGCATAAGTTAAATTTGAACCAAAAGGTACCCTGGATTCACCCTAAAAAAGCTTAAGGCAGGCCTCAGAAGGATCAAACTGAATCCAAGCAACTTAACTAACTGCATGCCAGAACAATGTTCAGCACTATTTAAAAGAATACAAAATAGGTGGGGAAAGGGCAAGAAGGCAGGGGAATCACCATGTTTGGGTGGACCTAGTTTCTAATGGCTTGCATTTACATATCAAAGGTTGCCAGCCTGGCTCTAAGAGCCGGGGCTATACAAGAAACTTTTCCGGCTCTCCCTCTCCCTCTGTCTCCCTCTCCCCACGGTCTCCCTCTCATGCGGAGCCGAAGCTGGACTGTACTGCTGCCATCTCGGCTCACTGCAACCTCCCTGCCTGATTCTCCTGCCTCAGCCTGCCCAGTGCCTGCAATGGCGCCGCCACGCCTGACTGGTTTTGGTGGAGACGGGGTTTCGCTGTGTTGGCCGGGCCGGTCTCCAGCCCCTAACCGCGAGTGATCCCGCCAACCTCAGCCTCCCGAGGTGCCGGGATTGCAGACGGAGTCTCGTTCACTCAGTGCTCAATGGTGCCCAGGCTGGAGTGCAGTGGCGTGATCTCGGCTCACTACAACCTACACCTCCCAGCCGCCTGCCTTGGCCTCCCAAAGTGCCGAGATTGCAGCCTCTGCCCGGCCGCCACCCCGTCTGGGAAGTGAGGAGCCTCTCTGCCTGGCCGCCCATCGTCTGGGATGTGAGGAGCCCCTCTGCCTGGCTGCCCAGTCTGGAAAGTGAGGAGCGTCTCCGCCCGGCCGCCATCCCATCTAGGAAGTGAGGAGCGCCTCTTCCCAGCCGCCATCACATCTAGGAAGTGAGGAGCGTCTCTGCCCGGCCGCCCATCGTCTGAGATGTGGGGAGCGCCTCTGCCCCGCCGCCCCATCTGGGATGTGAGGAGTGCCTCTGCCCGGCTGAGACCCCGTCTGGGAGGTGAGGAGCGTCTCTGCCCGGCCGCCCCGTCTGAGAAGTGAGGAGACCCTCTGCCTGGCAACCACCCCGTCTGAGAAGTGAGGAGCCCCTCCGCCCGGCAGCTGCCCCGTCTGAGAAGTGAGGAGCCTCTCCGCCCGGCAGCCACCCCATCTGGGAAGTGAGGAGCATCTCCGCCCAGCAGCCACCCCGTCCGGGAGGGAGGTGGGAGGGGGTCAACCCCCCGCCCGGCCAGCCGCCCCATCTGGGAGGGAGGTGGGGGGTCAGCCCCCCCGACCGGCCAGCCGTGCCATCCGGGAGGGAGGTGGGGGGGTCAGCCCCCCGCCCGGCCAGCCGCCCCGTCCGGGAGGTGAGGGGTGCCTCTGCCCGGCCGCCCCTACTGGGAAGTGAGGAGCCCCTCAGCCCGGCCAGCCACCCCGTCCGGGAGGGAGATGGGGGGGTCAGCCCCCCCACCCGGCCAGCCGCCCCGTCCGGGAGGGAGGTGGGGGGGTAAGCCCCCCGCCTGGCCAGCCGCCCCGTCAGGAAGGGAGGTGGGGGGGTCAGCCCTCCGCCCGGCCAGCCGCCCCGTCCGGGAGGTGAGGGGCGCCTCTGCCCGGCCGCCCCTACTGGGAAGTGAGGAGCCCCTCTGCCCGGCCAGCCGCCCCGTCCGGGAGGGAGGTGGGGGGGGTCAGCCCCCCGCCCGGCCGGCCGCCCTGTCCGGGAGGGAGGTGGGGGGGGTCAGCCCCCCGCCTGGCCAGCCGCCCTGTCCGGGAGGGAGGTGGGGGGGGGTCAGCCCTCCGCCCGGCCAGCCGCCCCGTCTGGGAGGTGAGGGGCGCCGCTGCCCGGCCGCCCCTACTGGGAAGTGAGGAGCCCCTCTGCCCGGCCAGCCGCCCCGTCCGGGAGGGAGGTGGGGGGGGTCAGCCCCCCGCCCGGCCGGCCGCCCTGTCCGGGAGGGAGGTGGGGGGGTCAGCCCTCCGCCCGGCCAGCCGCCCCGTCCGGGAGGTGAGGGGCGCCTCTGCCCGGCCGCCCCTACTGGGAAGTGAGGAGCCCCTCTGCCCGGCCAGCCGCCCCGTCCCGGAGGGAGGTGGGGGGGGTCAGCCCCCCTGCCCGGCCAGCCGCCCCGTCCGGGAGGTGAGGGGCGCCTCTGCCCAGCCGCCCCTACTGGGAAGTGAGGAGCCCCTCTGCCCGGCCAGCCGCCCCGTCCGGGAGGGAGGTGGGGGGGGTCAGCCCCCCCGCCCGGCCAGCCGCCCCGTCCGGGAGGTGAGGGGCGCCTCTGCCCGGCCGCCCCTACTGGGAAGTGAGGAGCCCCTCTGCCCGGCCACCACCCCGTCTGGGAGGTGTGCCCAACAGCTCATTGAGAACGGGCCAGGATGACAATGGCGGCTTTGTGGAATAGAAAGGCAGGAAAGGTGGGGAAAAGATTGAGAAATCGGATGGTTGCCGTGTCTGTGTAGAAAGAAGTAGACATGGGAGACTTTTCATTTTGTTCTGCACTAAGAAAAATTCCTCTGCCTTGGGATCCTGTTGATCTGTGACCTTACCCCCAACCCTGTGCTCTCTGAAACATGTGCTGTGTCCACTCAGGGTTAAATGGATTAAGGGCGGTGCAAGATGTGCTTTGTTAAACAGATGCTTGAAGGCAGCATGCTCGTTAAGAATCATCACCAATCCCTAATCTCAAGTAATCAGGGACACAAACACTGCGGAAGGCCGCAGGGTCCTCTGCCTAGGAAAACCAGAGACCTTTGTTCACTTGTTTATCTGCTGACCTTCCCTCCACTATTGTCCCATGACCCTGCCAAATCCCCCTCTGTGAGAAACACCCAAGAATTATCAATAAAAAAATAAATTTAAAAAAAAAAAAAAAGAATACAAAATATAGCCCCTGACAACACAAAATGTATAATGTCTGTCTTCAAATAAAAAATAACAGACATCAAGCCAGATGCAGTGGCTCATGCCTGTAATCCCAGCACTTTGGGAGGCCAAGGCGGTCGTATCACTTGAGGTCAGGAGTTCAAGACCAGCCTGGCCAACATGGTGAAACCCCATTTCTACTAAAAATACAAAAATTAGCCAGGTGTGGTGGTACATGCCTGTAGTCCCAGCTACTTGGGAGGCTGAGACAGGAGAATGGATTGAACCTGGGAGGCAGAGGTTGCAGTGAGCCAAGATCATGCCATTGCACTCCAGCCTGGGTGACAGCCTGGGTGAGACTCTGTCTCAAAAAAAATAATAATTTTAAAAACAATAATAATAACAGACATCAAAGAAGGAGGATATATGACCCATAACCAAAAGGAAAGTCACTCAATAGCAACAGAACCAGATTTACAGAGATGATGAAATTAGCAGACAGAAAATTTCAAATTCTACTATAATTATACTCCATACAATCAGGGAAGTGGAAGAAAATATTAACATTATGAGGGAAGAAGTGGTAGAAATATTATAAAAAGAATTACACATAGTTTGCACTGATAAAAATACAATATCAGAAATTAAAAATATAATGGAAAAGATTAACAACAGATTAAACCCTACAAAATTGAAGATCAGTGAACTTAAAAATATTAAAGTAAACTTAAAGCAATAGAAAATGTCCTAGATAAAGCGCAGAGAAAAAAAGACTTTTTAAAAAATGAACAAAGCATCATGACCTTATCAATGATACTGTTTGACACTATCAAGCAATCTAACAGCATGTAGTTGAAGACTCAGTAAAGAGAATTGACAGAAAAAAAACCCTTAAAAAAAATGATAAAAAA
The DNA here is from genome assembly GCF_000001405.40 of Homo sapiens. Classification (NCBI taxonomy): domain Eukaryota; kingdom Metazoa; phylum Chordata; class Mammalia; order Primates; family Hominidae; genus Homo; species Homo sapiens. The sequence goes on along the minus strand of NC_000006.12, from coordinate 122,846,875 downwards.
TGTTCTTAATTTGATGAAAACATAAACCCACATATCCCAGAACCTCTAAGAACCCCAAACAGAAGAAACACAAAGAAAACCACACCAGGGGCACATGTTCTCAGGACCTCCTGAAGCTTTGTCACAGACTACATATATATATATATATATACACATATATATACACACACACACACACACACACATGTATGTGCATAATTTATGTATATGTATGCATATAATTTTAAAAGAAAGAAAATACTGGGTTCCAGTGATAAGCCCTATAAAATGGAAAGGAGAGAAAAAAGATTTCCTTTGCCTATTGGCAATACCCTCCAGCATATCAAGTGAAACTACCGTTATGAGAAAAACTTAGGACTATAACATTCTCCCCCCACAAACAAGGAAGGTGCTGAGAGACCAGAGAATGACTCAGACAAGTCCAGCTTGACAACTAGATGAGTTTATTAGGACTTACATACAGGGCACCACACCAAGGCATACCATAATCAAATTGCTGAAAACACATGACGAAGCAAACAGTTTCAGCTCAACCAGGAAAGAAAAGTATATTAAATTCAAAGGACAAAGATCAGTATGACAAAAGAATTCTTGTCAGAAACTATAAAAGTCAGAAGACATTGAAGCAACCAAAGTTATTGATTGGGGTAGGGGTAGGAGGTGGGGGGAGGCAGGAACTGCTGACCCAGAATTCCATATCCAGTGAAAATATCTTTCAAAATTGAAAGTAAAATGAAGATGTTTTCAGAAAATGCTGAGGGGATTAGTCACCAGCAGATGTGGACTAAAAGAAATGTTAAAGGAAGTTCTTCTGATAGAAGGAAAATTATACCAGATGCTAATTTGGATCTACATGAGGGAAGGAAGAGCACTGTAAGTAATCAATATGTAAATAAATAGAAACATTGACACGTTCTAAACTGAGCTCCTCATCTTCTTCTGAGAATCTGCTTCTCACTCAGCCTTTTCTTATCACATTTAATGGCCACTCCATTCTTTCATGTTCAGGTAGAACATTTGGGGGTCAACATTGATGTGTCTCTTTCCCACACCTCCTACATCACATCATCAGCAAAGGCTAATGGCTCTAACTTCAGGACATGTACAGGGTCTTGCCTCACAGCTGTCTCCCCACTACTCACTGCCATCGTTTTGTCTCTGTTATTGCAATGGCCTCATGCTAGGCCTCTCTACTTCCACTGTGGCCCCCACTCCTGTGTATTCGCAATGCAGCAGTCAGAGGACTGACTCCAAAGGCTTCCGAAGGTTCATGTCATACCTCTACTCACGAAAGGCCAGTGGTCCCTTTCATGCGCGTCCGTATGAAGAGACCACCAAACAGGCTTTGTGTGAGCAACATGGCTGTTTATTTCACCTGGGTGCAGGCGGGCTGAGTCCGAAAAGAGAGTCAGCAAAGGGAGATAAGAGTGGGGCCGTTTTATAGGATTTGGGCAGGTAAAGGAAAATTACAGTCAAAGGGGGTTTGTTCTCTGGCGGGCAGGAGTGGGGGTCGCAAGGTGCTCAGTGGGGGTGTTTTTGAGCCAGGATGAGCCAGGAAAAGGACTTTCACAAGGTAATGTCATCACTTAAGGCAAGGACCGGCCATTTACACTTCTTTTGTGGTGGAATGTCATCAGTTAAGGTGGGGCAGGGCATATTCACTTCTTTTGTGATTCTTCAGTTACTTCAGGCCATCTGGGCTTATACGTGCAAGTCACAGGGGATGCGATGGCTTGGCTTGGGCTCAGAGGCCTGACATTCCTGCCCTCTTATATTAATAAGAAAAATAAAACAAAATAGTGTTGAAGTGTTGGGGCAGCGAAAATTTTTGGGGGGTGGTACGGAGAGAGAATGGGCGATGTTTCTCAGGGCTGCTTCAAGCGGGATTGGGGCGGCGTGGGAACCTAGAGTGGGAGAGATTAAGCTGAAGGGAGGTCTTGTGGTAAGGGGTGATATTGTGGGGATGTTAGAAGAAAAGTTTGTCGTATAGAATGATTGGTGATGGCCTGGACACGGTTTTGGATGAATTGAGAAACTAAATGGAATAACAGAAGGAGAAAAACAGGTATAAAAGTTCTAAGAATTGGGACGACTCAGGATATCTGATTAGAGAGTGCCTAAGGAGATTCAGCATAGTCCTGCCAGCAAAGATTATTTATTTACTTCAAGAGTTAGGAGTGGCAGTTTGGGGATAGCACCAGGAGATATCAGCTGTGATGGCTTGGAAAAACAGTGTAAACCGGCAGTGTAAACAAGAGCAGGGCATGTATGAGTAGTTGAGAACGGTGAATAGGAGTATGACTAGACAGAAGATAGTAGGGATGACAAGTTTTTTGGGGGGCACAGTCTAAGTTGGTCTGGTGTCTGGAATGAGACTGGGGCCTAATAAAAAGGAGCGTCTATACAGGAGCTTAAATGGGCTGTACCCTGTAGCATTCCGAGGACAGGCCTGAATTCTGAGAAGGGAAAGTGGTAAAAGTATTGTCCAGTCCTTTTCGGTGGCTGAGCTTGGTGAGGTGTGTTTTTAAAAGACCTTTAGTCCATTCTACTTTTCTTGAAGACGGAGGACCGTAAGGGATATAAAGGTTTCACTGAATACTAAGAGCCTGAAAAACTGCTTGGCTGATTTGACTAATAAAGGCTCATCTGTTATCAGACTGTATTGAGGTGGGAAGGCTAAACTGAGGAATTATGTCTGACAGAACGGAAGAAATGACTGCGGTGGCCTTCTCAGACCCTGTAGGAAAGGCCTCTACCTATCCAGTGAAAGTATCTACCTAGACTAAGAGGTATTTTAGTTATCCGACTCAGGGCATGTTGAGTAAAGCTAATTTGCCAGTCCTGGGTGGGGCAAATCCTCGAGCTTGATGTGTAGGGAAGGGAGGGGACCTGAATAATCCCTGAGGAGCAGTAGAATAGCAGATGGAACACTGAGAAGTTATTTCCTTGAGGATAGATTTCCACGATGGAAAGGAAATGAGAGGTTCTAAGAGGCGGGCTAGTGGCTTGTACTATAGCATAACCTGCCTTTGCTGGTGTGTGGCGATTAGGCCTGGTGGAACCGCCATCAATAAATCAAGCGTGATCAGGGTGAGGAACAGGAAAGAAGGAAATATGGGGAAATGGGGTGAATATCAGGTGGATCAGAGAGATACAGTCATGGGGGTCAGGTGTGGTATCAGGAATAACATGGGAGGCCAGATTGAAGTCCAGGCCAGGAACAATGGTAATTGTGGGACTTAAAGAGTGACTACAGCTGAAGGAGCCGGGGAGCAGAAAGTATATGCGTCAGGTATGAGGAAGAAAATAGATTTTGGAAGTTATGAGAACTGTAGAGAGTGAGTTGAGCATAGTTTGTGATTTTGAGGGCCTCTAAAAGTATTAAAGCAGCGGCAGCTGCTGCATGCAGACGTGAGGGCTAGGCTAAAACAGTAAGGTCAAGTTGTTTGGACAGAAAGGCTACAGGGTGTGGTCCTGGCTCTTGTGTAAGAATTCTGACCGTGCTAACCATGCCTAGGAAGGAAAGAAGTTGTTGTTTTGTAGAAGGTGCTGGGGTTTGAGAGATCAGTCGGACACGATTGGCAGGAAGAGCACGTGTGTTTTTATGAGAATTATGCCGAGATAGGTAACAGATGAGGAAGAAATTTGGGCTTGATTGAAGTAATGGGGGCTGTCTGTGAAGCTTTGCGGCAGTACAGCCTAGGTAATTTGCTGAGCTTAATGGGTGTCAGGGTCAGTCCAAGTGAAAGCGAAGAGAGGCTGGGATTGAGGGTGCAAAGGAATAGTAAAGAAAGCATGTTTGAGATCTAGAACAGAATAATGGGTTGTAGAGGCAGGTATTGAGGATAGGAGAGTGTATGGGTTTGGCACCACCGGGTGGATAGGCAAAACAATTTGGTTGATAAGGTGCAGATCCTGAACTAACTTGTAAGGCTTGTCTGGTTTTAGGACAGGTAAAATGGGGGAATTGTAAGGAGAGTTTATAGGCTTTAAAAGGCCATGCTGTAGCAGGCGAGTGATAACAGGCTTTAATCTTTTTAAAGTGTGCTGCGGGATGGAATATTGGCGTTGAGTAGGGTAAAGGTGATTAGGTTTTAATGAGATGGTAAGGGGTGCATGATCGGTTGCCTAAGAGGGAGTAGAGGTATCTTATACTTGTGGGTTAAGGTTGGGGGGATACAAGAGGAGGATGCAAAGGAGGCTTTGGATTGGGAAGAAGGGCGGCAATGAGATATAGCTGTAGTCCAGGAATAGTCAGGGAAGCAGATAATTAAAGTGTCTCAGCCTAATAAGGGAACTGGGCAGGTGGGGATAACTAAAAAGGAGTGCTTAAAAGAGTATTGTCTAAGTTGGCACCAGAGTTGGGGAGTTTTAAGAGGTTTAGAAGCCTGGCCATCAATACCCACAACAGTTATGGAGGCAAGGGAAACAGGCCCTTGAAAAAAAGGTAATGTGCAGTGGGTAGCCTCCGTATTGATTAAGAAGGGGACGGGCTTACCTTCCACTGTGAGAGTTACCCGAAGCTCGGTGTCCGTGATGGTCTAGGGGGCTTCCGAGGAGATCGGGCAGTGTCAGTCTTCAGCTGCTAAGCCGAGAAGATCTGGGAAGGAGTCAGTCAAAGAGCCTTGGGCCAGAGTTCCATGGGCTGTGGGAGTGGCTGCCAGGTGAGTTGAACAGTCCAATTTTCAGTGGGGTCCCACACAGATGGGACGCGGCTTAGGAGGAATCCCGGGCTGCGGGCATTCCTTGGCCCAGTGGCCAGATTTCCGGCATGTGTAGCAAGCTCCTGTGGGAGGAGGTTCTGGAGGAACGCCTGGCCACTGCCGTTCAGGCATTTGGAAGTTCTTGTGCGCTGGAGATGTGGCTGGGGTTTGTCTCACAGTGGAGGCAAGGAATTGCAACTTTTTTCTATTATTGTACACCTTGAAGGCGAGGTTAATTAAATCCTGTTGTGGGGTTTGAGGGCTGGAATTTAATTTTTGGAGTTTTAATGTCAGGAGCAGATTGGGTAATAAAATGTATTTTGAGAATAAGACAGCCTTTTGACCTTTTAGGGTCTAGGGCTGTAAAGTGTCTCAGGGTTGCTGCCAAACGAGCCATGAACTGGGCTGGATTTTTATATTTGATGAAAAAGAGCCTAAACGCTATCTGATTTGGGATAAAGAAAAAGGAGCATTAACCTTGACTATGCCTTTAGCTCCAGCCACCTTTTTAAGAGTAAATTGCTGGGCGGGAGGGGGAGGGCTAGTCACGGAACGAAACTAAGCCGGACCAGGTGTGAGGAGGGGAGGTGATAAAGGATTATAGGGTGGAGGAGCGGAGGCTGAGGAAGAATTGGGACCTAGCTCGGCCTGGCGAGGAGCAGCCTGGGGAGGAAGGGAGAGGTCAGATGGGTCTGTAGAAAAGGAAGATTAGAAAGACTCAGTGACGCTTGGGGTTGGAACTGAGGGGACAGGTGGGAGGGAAAGAAGGAAGATTTGGGACGAGTTGCACTGGGCACAGAGACTAGGAAGGGACTGATGTGTAAAAGAATGCCTGGACGTCAGGCACCTCAGACTGTTTGCCTATTTTAAGACAAGAATTATTTAGATATTGCAGGATGGAAAAATTCAAAGTGCCATTTTCTGGCTATTTGGAACTACTGTCAAGTTTGTATTGGGGTCAAGCGGCATTGCAGAAGAAAATAAGGCATTTAGGTTTTAGGTCAGGTGTTAAAGAGGTTTTAAGTTTTTGAGAACACAGGCCAAGGGAGTAGGAGGAGGAATGGAGGGTAGAAGGTTGCCCATAAAGAGAGAGTAGAGAAATGGAGAGAAGGGGTTCGGGGGTTCTTACCTTCCAGAAAAGTGGGAAAATGGGTTGGGGCGCAGAGATAAGAGGTCGGGGCACGGAAATAAGGGATGGGGTGCAGAAATAAGGGGTTGGGGCACAGAAATAAGGGATTGGGGCACACAGATAAGAGGTTGGGGTGCAGAAATAAGGGATTGGGGCACAGAGGTATGAGGTTGGGGTACTTGCCCCTCCTCTAGAAAAGCGGGACTTGCCGCTAAGAGTGAAGGAGAAGGGGTTGAGGGGTACTTGCCCCTCTCCCAGAAAAACAGAGAAGGGGTAGAGACAAGGAGAGAAGGGGTTGGGGTACTTGCCCTGTCCCTGGAAAAGCAGAGAAGGGGTAGAGACAAGGAGAGAAGGGGTTGAGGTACTTGCCCCTTCCCCAGAAAAGCGGGACTTGCTGCTAAGGGTGAAGGACCAAGGCAGGCGTCCCTGCGTGGTCTGACACCCTTGAAACGTGGGTGTATAATCAGAGGCGTCCCTGCAATGATTAAACACCAAGGGAAGGCTGCCTTCCCAGTCCGTGACCAGTGCCAGAGTTTTGGGTCCACTGATAAAACGTGTCTCCTTTGTCTCTCCCAGAAAATGAAAGGAATTGAAATTAAGAGAAGGGAGAGATTGAAGAGTGGAAAGGAGAAAGTGGTTGAGGGACAGTGAGAGAGGTTGGAGAAGAGTAAGAAGAGGCCACTTACCCGATTTAAAATTGGTGAGATGTTCCTTGGGCTGGTCGGTCTGAGGACCTGAGGTCGTAGGTGGATCTTTCTCACGGAGCAAAGAACAGGAGGACAGGGGATTGATCTCCCAAGGGAGGTCCCCCGATCCGAGTCACGGCACCAACAGTCCCCATATCCAGAGAAAAACCAAACTCTTGCTCCAGCCTGCAGGCCCCACTGGTCCTTCCCTTCTCTGCCTTTGCATGGCACTGTGCTTGTCTCTATTCTCTGCATCTCACTCAGCTCAGAGCACAATGGCCTCTTTACCGTTCCTCAGAACCAGCAGATGCCCTCTTGATCCTTGGCATCTTCACATTTCTGCTGCCCAGGCCATGCTTCCCCTGGCCCCAGCACGGCTTATGCCCTCACTTCCTTCAAATCTTGTCTCAAACGTCTTATTTCCAGAGAGGTCAACCTAGGAACACATGATTTAAACTTGCAATTCTCCAGCCACTATGCCTGTCCCTTCTCTGATATATCATCTCCATAGCCTTGTGTGTTATTTAATGTGTTTGACAGAGATAGTGCGTTGCTTTTTTACTACTGAAGCTCCAGTGTCTAGAAGGTGACTGGCATAGTGTAGATCTCAATAAATATTTGTCAACTGAATGAATACAGAGGGAGGAGCATGCTTGGGCCAAATTCTGTAGCTGTAGTAGATAATCCTTGTCACCAGGGGGCAGCACAACAGAATTAAGGGTTTGATGAAAGCTGGGGAAGCTATCACAACCCAGGTGCACACAGACAAGATGAGTTTTCCAAACTCAGACCATGAAGAGCCTATGTGGAAGAGGATATCAGGGGTAGCAGAATCAACCTCTGTTTTGCTATGTGACCTTGAACATCACTTCACTCTCTGGACCTTGGTTTCAGCAAGGGCGTATTAGTTTCTCTAGAGGGACAGAACTAATGGAATATATATATATATATATATATATATATATATATATATATATATAAAAAGGGGAGTTTATTAAATATTAACTCACACGTTCACAAGGTCCCACAATGGGCTGTCTGCAAGCTGAGGAGGAAGGAGAGCCAGTCAGAGTTCCAAAACTGAAGAATTTGGAGTCCAATGTTCGGGGACAGGAAGCATCCAGCAGGGGAGAAAGATACACGCTGGGAAGGCTAAGCTAGTCTCTTTTCACATTTTTCTGTCTGCTTATATTCTAGCCATGCTGACAGCTGATTAGATTGTGCCCACCCAGATTAAGGGTGGGCCTGCCTTTCCCAGCTCACTGACTCAAATGTCAATCTCCTTGGGCAACACCCTCACAGACACACCTGGAATCAATATTTTGTATTCTCCAATCCAATCAAGTTGACACTCAGTATTAACTATCACAAAGGGCTAGCACCTGATTTGTTGACTCTCATTTACTTCTGGTTCTAACATTCCATGATTCTAAAACAAACAGAAATCACACTGAAGTACAAAGCCCCCAGACCCCAGAAAGCAAAAACACAGCAGAAACTACAAAGCAAACAGCTAACAATATCGTGATAGGATCGAAACCTCATGTATCAATATTAAACTTGAATGTAAATGGTCTAACCACCCTGCTTAAACAGGACACCCTCTCAACTTCTCCTGCCTATTTTAATTTCATATTCAGGCTGGAAGAAAGGGGCAACGAATTTCTCATAAAATTGTATTTGAGCTACTGGAATTCAGTTAAATACCCACAGGTTCAATAGAAAGGCCCTTTTGTGTGAAGTAAAGCTATATCAGTGAGTGAGCTTGACTCAATTTAGTTATTCCCACATCTATTTTTTTAATGAGAATGAGTAATATTTCCGGAAAGAGAAGAAAAGTTAGCACCACTTAAGAGATCCCGGGGCTCTAAGATAGCATCAACTAAATGCTATAGTTTCTTATTACTTTTGGGGAGAAGCTAATGTACAGCAATTTGAAATCCAGGCAATATTGCATCCTAGAAAAGAAGCCATTTAACTTTATCCATGGGATTAAAAGACTAAATTTTCTTTTCTTAGTACTATCATAGAATAATTTAGTTTTCTCCAGTAGAAGCAGTATTTCCACAACAGATCAGGGGATGGCAGTAAAGAGTTGCTCTCTGGTCAATAAAGTATTTGTATGACAGAGAAAAATTATAGTTTAAACTAATTTATTTGTATATTGTATTGCCCCTAATAAAATTCACACACCATTTTGTTGGCTTGAATTAAAGTGTCATCAAAGGGCTTGTGGAGATTAGTTTGGGCATTGACTTAACATGGCATCTCAAAATAAATACTCCCCAAATTGCATTTTACCATTGCATATGAAGCCCGCAACCAGCGAAAATCATAATGATTTTATCAGGATCAGGTATTTAAGTGACTTTAATTAAATCCATCTCTGGTATGGGGTTGGTGATTTCTATTTTAGGGCAATTCTTAATCCAAATATTTGACTTATTTCAGAATATTTAATTCACATCCCTGTTTCACAGAATTTTACTTAAAGTAAAAACCAACCTAGGAGCCTTGTGTCTTTGTCCTAACTCTATAGGTATGTGTGGGTGTCTCTGGTTGGAAATGTACAGGGCTGCTAGAGAAATGGAGAAAGAAAGCATCCACACCGTGCATCTGAAGAGCACTAAGTAAACTCCTCTGTCTTTCTGTCTAATGTTCTGAGCAATATTAGATAGGGTACCTGGAATGAATCAAACTGTTAGCAGTGGTGAGTATCTGAGTTACAAGCAGTGAGTCCATACGGGTCTGCAGCCACCTCAATTATTGTCTTCAAAGAAGAAAAAATTCGACTGAGGGGCATAATGCAGAAGAACAGATTGAGGCAAGTTTTAGAGCATGAGTGAAAGTTGACTTAAAAATTTGAGAGCAGGGGCACGGCTCAGTGGCTTATGCCTGTAATCTCAGCACTTTGGGAGGCTGAGGCAGGTGGATCATCTGAGCTCAGCCTGGGCAACATAGTGAAACCTCATCTCTACAAAAAAATTTTTTAAAAAACTACTTAGGAGGCTGAGGTGGGAGGATTGCTTGAGCCTGGGAGGTGGATGGTGCAGTGAGCCAAGATCACGCTATTACACTCCAGCCTGGGTGACAAAGTGAGACCCTGTCTTAAAAAAAAAAAGAAAAGAAAAGAAAAGAAAAAGAAAAAAGAAAGAAAGGAAGAAAGAAAAGGAAAGAAAAAAAAAAGCTTTGGAGCAGGAACAAAAGAAAAAAAAAGTACATTTGGAAGAGGCCCAAGCAAGCGACTTTGAAGGACAAGTGCAGGGTTTGACCTTTTGACTTGGGTTTTGTTTTTTTGTTTTTGTTTTGTTTGTTTTTTGTTTTTGTTTTGGTGACAGAGTCTTGCTCTGTCACCCAGGCTTGAGTGCAGTGGTGCGATCTGGGCTCACTGCAACCTCCGCCTCCCGGGTTCAAGCAATTATCTGTCTCAGCCTCCTGAGTAACTGAGATTACAGGTGCCCGCCACCACGCCTGGCTAATTTTTGTATTTTTAGTAGAGACAAGGTTTCATCATGTTGGCCAGGCAGGTCTTGAACTCCTAACCTCGTGATCCATCCGCCTCGGCCTGCCAAAGTGCCTGGATTACAGGCGTGAGCCACTGCACCCGGCCCGACTTGGGGTTTTATATGTTGGCGTGATTCTGGGTCTTGCGTTCCTTCTCCCCTGATTCTTCTCTTGGTGTGGGTTGTCCACATACACAGTGGCCTGCTAGTGCTTGGGAGGGGAGCATGCACGGTGTGTTTACTGGAGTTGTACGCATGCTCACCTGAGGCATTCTTCCCTTTTGCCGTGGAATGGGCGCGGAAGGTCATATACCAGTTAAATTCCACCGTTTTGCCTCTTAGTGCACATGTGTGAGCCCACTTGCCCAGCTCCTAAGATCTCATCAGGAAGCTGCTGATCACCAGTTTCAGTTTTTTCCTGTCTATAGGGAAACTGCCTTTCCCTGGCACTGGCTGCGACCAATTATTATTTTAGAGGCAGTGTGACAACTGTCTGACCATCACCTGATGGTCACCCGACTTTTCTGATGGGGTGATGGGGGAGCCCTCTCTTGCCCCATTCATGCCTGACTAGCCACCTACTGTAACAAAGTCATGCAAGCCAGATCCCAGCTATATTCTAGTACCTGGGACTTCCTTTGCAGCACTTATCAAAACTGTAATTATTTAACGATTTGTATTTTTCTAATTATCTATCTGCACCACCTAGATAGATTTGTATTTTTCTAATTATCTATCTGCATCACCCTGCCTCACCTCACTTCCTTCAAGGTTGTATCCTTGGCAATGCTCACAATGCCTGTTCATAGCAGAGGCTCCGGGATAGTCTCATAGTCATCTTAAAATTCCTAGTACTTAGCACATATCATGTAAATGTAAGGTTTCTTGGATAAAGCTTTGGCTACTTTAGTCTGTCTATAGGATACTGCAGTAAACAAAAAACATTTCATGCTCTCATGAAAACATTCTAGTGCAAGATGGGGGAACAGAGGTAATAGATACAAATGTCATATGTATGAATAGTTAAGCAATTGTGATATCATATCAGACAGTGATAAGTGTGTGTACACAGACACCTCTACAATGTCAGGGGTCTGCTCTGGGAAACTGACAGCCAAGTACAGAGTTGAAAGAACTGTCCCCTGAAGAGCATAGAAGAGATTTCTAGGCACGGGAACAGCTCATGCGAAGGTCCTGCACAAGAGTTTGGCAGGTTCAAAAGGCCAGTGAGGCCAGAAGGAATTGAAGGAAGGCATGGCCATCCATCCATGCCATTCCGTTCAGTGAAAACCAAAGAAAAGTAGCTTGAACAACCCAAGAAGTCCAGTAATAGAACAATCATTTAATAACAAACATAAAGGAACCTGCCCTAACCGTGCAAACCCATAGTGTTCAACAGTCTTAGCTTCTGATTTTGCAACATTATGTAAAGCTTAGGGAAAGATTCTTTCTGTAATGCTAATTTAAGTATCAAGAGAAAAAATTGCTTAGACAGGATAGGTTCAACTGGGCAAGGACTCTTGAAAGGTAACTCATGCTTGTTCATTAATGCAATATTTAACAAATACTGAATGGCTTCTAGTGTCAGACATTGTTCTTAATAGTATTGGGGACACGACAGTGAACAACATAGAAAACAACACCTGTCCTCATGGAGCTTATATATTTGTTGTGGAGAGATAGCCAAAAATAAAAATAAAAATTTCACAAAGGACTAGATCAAGCTTGTCCAACCCATGGCCCATGGGCTGCATGCAGCCCAGGATGGCTTTGAATGTGGCTGAACACAAATTCATAAACTTTGTTAAAACATTATGAGATCTCTTCTGCAATTTTTTTAAGCTTATCAGCTATCATTAGTGTTACTGTATTTGATGTGTGGCCCAAGACAATTCTTCTTTTTCCAAGGTGGCCCAGAGAAGCCAAAAGATTGAACACCCCTGGATTAGATCATTTCAGCTGCAACAAGTACTAAAAAAGAAAAGTGCCAGAACTAACTTGGATAGTTGGATGCTTTCCTTTTAGCAAATAACCTGTCAGCCTATCAATCACTTAATAATAAGAGAGGTTCCCTTTATGTAATAGAATAATGGAATGATTTTTCTCCTTCATGTTTTCTGCATTTTCTAATTTTTTTACAGTGACAATGCTACTTTACTTATCAAATAAAAAATTTATTAAATAATACATAAAGATATTCTTGTTAACATTTCAGACATTAAAGACAAAGCTAAGGCTTCCTTTACCAAAGGAAAGGTGACAGGCATAAACTCACATAATCAATCAGCTTTGTTAAAAGTGACAAAGATTTGAAGTGTGTGATTCGGTGCCTCTGCTTCATAACTAGAATAAATTTTCTCAGAAAGTTATCTCTCTTCCCAGAAGAATAAGAAAACATACTTTATTATTTTTAACACAAATTCCTCCTTCCTTTATTTTTAACACAAATTCCTCTTTCCTTTAATTTGTGAAAAAAAAGTAGTATCAGGAGGGGTACCATTGTTAGCCCCATGTGATCAAACAAATAATCTGCAATTCTATTGTAGATAAGCAGCAAGAAATGCTTTTAGGGTTTGGTTCACATGTTACAGAGAAGTTAGTGGACCTCAGTAGAATGAGGCTCTTATTTTAAAAACCTTCTTGATCAGATGTTCAAACTGAGGGTCAAAACACTGTTGATTGCCATGAAACCTATTGTGAAAATGGGTTATCAACACCAACTAAAACTGCTTCCGCAAGGCATATGGAATCTCCATGGTACAGTCCTCAGAAACAACACTGGTAAAACCAATGTGCCACATTACTTTCAAATAAGCCTCCCCTGAACAATATGTGATATTGATGAGACATATGGGTACTAGCCTACTATGGTTTTAAAGCATATAGTCTCTTTTAAGCAATGAAGTCTGAGGGAGAATAACCAGAACATTAAGATAACAGAAGAAACATTCTAATTATGTTGATTAACCTTCCTCCCAACTGAAAGAAGTATTATTTTCTGCCACTGCTCTGTTAATGTACATACATATTTCTAGATAAAAATTAATATAACCACTACAAAAACCTAGGAGCAAGTTGGGGGCAGGGGGAAATCAATAAAGTACCAAAACAGATAAAACTGATATACCGCACCCGAGTTTCAATATACTATAAATTATTTCTTCCTCAAGATTCTATCCTTCTTTACTCCCCTCCTCCATTACAGAATCTCAATTTAAAAGAAAAATGTATTTGATAATAAATAGCATTTAGAAATTCTCAAGGAAAGGCAAGTGTATCTTGTATCTCTTGCTCTTTTCCCAGGCTTTCTTACCTTTCTTTGAAAGACCAAAAAAAAAAAGAAAAGAAAAAAGAAAGAAAGGGCACCAAGAAGAGATTGTTTGGCACTGCGCGGTTCACCATCATGCGATACTGACGTAATGGTCTGGGGCACACTGACTGGCTGCCTCAGAACTGGTCACTCTCTCTTTCTTTTCGCATATGGAGCAGCAATCAGCTTACAACTAAATCACATCTGAGCACAAGCTGTCTCCACAAAGCCAACCAAAGAGGCAACATTCACAGGCTGACAAAGCATCCCTAAAGCAGGAAAGAAAAGAAGCCCCTGAGGCTGCTGCCCGGAGAAGGAAAAGGCTTTCAACATTCATACCAGTCTGTTGGGGCATTGTGCAGACCACAGAGGGAGAGTAACTGATGGAATACTCTCTGAAGTTCACACTTGGGCGAAGCTGCATGTTTAACATCAGGAGTGGGAGGAAAGTGTAAGTTACAAAATAAACAAATAAAAAGACAGATATAAAAATAAGAAGGAAATGCAGTGTCAGTGTGGTAACACCAGGGACTGGTGATGTCTGTTGCATATTAGGCTTCTGGTGAACTCAATTAATTATTTCCAAGCAGAATTTTTGTGAATTTATAGTTTACATATAGTTTGCATGTCATTTATTTTTTAATGTAAGCAGTAGGAAGAGTCATTTCTTGAAAGTACAAATGACTTTTGTTTGGAAACACTTTAAAAATGGTAACAGTGACTAAAGATCATCAAATGATATCTAAAATATGGATTAACTATAATACATCTGTTCTCCCTGGGCAGACGGTTAGTTAATCCTTTATAAATTAATTACAATGACATCATTGGAGATCTCACAAATGGATTGTACAAGAATATACCAGCTCTGACTTAATGTGGCCCTGAGATCTGAGCCTTTTCTCTTTACTTATCTATTAACCTCGTCTCTACACTTGCTCCCCATCCCTACGTATGCATCTTTCTACCCATTCAGCACTCACCAAGGAGCTCACTAATTTCTTCATTGTATTTACCTCTGTCATCACCTCCCTCTTCTTAAAAGACTTCAACAATACCAAGTCACATCCTTTTGTGATACTTTTTCAAAAGGACACTTTTGGTAGATCCATATATGGAAGCTGCTGAACTCCAAGTTGATAGCACGCAAATGTCAATTTCCTTCTAACTGAGTAAACAGAATAATGAAAACATTGAGCCTACTATAATTTGAATGTGAGATATACAGGGTTTTAGAATGACACTTAGAATTTAAAAAGGTAAGAAATTAGTTCACACTTGCGCGGAGTTCACCTCATTTATTTAATAATATAATTTACAGTTAGGTAGTCCTCACTTTTTGTCAGGTAACAATTTTATGGGTAAGGAAACTGAAGCCCAGAAAACTGCCAAATTCCTATGACTAACTAGTAGTAAAGATGAGATTTAAACTGTAGCTGTCTAAATCTAGAAGTTGAGTTCTTAATCTCTATGTCAGACAATGTATTATGCCATTTTGTATTAAAGTATATTTAAGATTTTCTATCAGTCCCTTTCAAGATGTTTTAACTCCTGAGGGTTTTTTTTTTTAATTAAAAGGCTCCTATAACAAAGACAGATTACATATACATTTATTTTATACTTTTCTATGATCTAGGGCCTTCTGAAGTGAAGGCTTAATAAAACAGGTAAAACTGTGTGTTTCTTATGCTAGCTATGATGAAGTGGAAGGTTGAGAAGTATGATCAGACAAAGTAGGTATAATCTAATGGTTAACACCTGGGGAAAACCTAGTGAGACTTGTTTGCTCAGATTCTTCTCTGTGTCCCTGTGCCTTCAGAGATAAGGAAGTTCTTTCTTCTGGGCATGGGCAGGGCCCTTCTGGAACGAAGGTCCTATGACCTGCTTCAGGGTAGAAAGGTGGAAAAAGGTCAGAGATTGACCTTTCTAGATTTTATGACTTGCTTCAGAGAAGGGCAAGAGGAAGGGGAGAGTGACCTTCTGGCTTCCACCATTTTCTCAAATGCCAAGGTGCCATATTTTGGGGGTAACATGTTGTGAACCCCATCAGCATTTTAAAATAGATCTGTGAAAAACTCTTTAAAAGTATTATCACTCTAATGTGTCCATGAGATTAGGCCAAACTATTTTTTCTAGAATTCTCCTTACCGTATGCTTCTGGTAAGGGTGGCCACACAAGAGAACCTTGTGGGAAATTGCAGGATAGAAGTGGTGGCCACTTTGTAGCTCATATATTTTGTTGCTTCTCTGCCTGCTCACCTTGTTGGCATGGATCAGCTGCCTGATCTGCAACTGCTCTACCTGTCCCTGGATCTTCCTTCAGGTTCTCTAATTCCTGGAACGAATGTGTGTATAGCTCTTTGATGAAGAGCACCAGCCTCTCCTGCAGCATCTCCACATCATTATGGTTGGGGGCAGTGAGAACTAATGTGGATCTCAGTCTGTTCTTGATTAAGCTCATGCTTAAGGGATCCAGCTTGTTCTAACTCTGACTTTACATTTAGTTCCCCTTCCAGACTGTCTGCCTTGTGGACTTGAAGTTTCAGCATCAGATGCAGAAGCTACCACCTTACAGAGACTTTTTAACCAGATCCCAAAATGGCATAAAATCAAATCTTTGCAACAAATCCTTTCTTTTACAAAAATAGATACATTGATTAACCAACTAATCAATTGATAGATAGATAGATAGATGGATAGATAGAGACCTCCCTAATGGTTTTGCATCTCTGATTGAAACCTAAGCACCATAGCGAATTGATACCCACCATTACTGATCTTAAAAATACACCATCTAGGCCAGGCATGTTGGCCTATGCTTGTAATCCCAGCACTTTGGGAGACTGAGGCAGGCAGATCACTTGAGGTCAGGAGTTCAAGACCAGCCTGGCCAACATGGCAAAACCCCGTCTCTACTAAAAATAAAAAAATTAGCTGGGCATGGTGGTGAGCGCCTGTAATCCAAGCTACTCAGGAGGCTGAGCCAGGAGAATCACTTAAAAAACACAGGAGATGGAAATTTCAGTGAGCCGAGATCGCACCACTGCACTCCAGCCTGGGCAACAAAGCAAGACTCTGTCTCAAAAAAAAAAAAAAAAATCATCTTTTTTTTTCATTCTTTTTCATTTCTTGTATTCACATGCTTATTGCATTTTCATTCAAATGAATTACATTTTTGTTTTACCCAAATGTGACCACCCATTAATACTTCTCTTCAACAAAAATAGGTACCTAAAATAATTTTTTAGTTGTCTGTGGCCATAATGCTCTAAGACATGTATTAAAATATGTCTTACGGATGTTCTTCTTATTTTTAGTATTAATAGTAAGCAAGTGATCAAAATTACAAGAATAATACATTGTTAACTATTAAATATCTATGTGGGTTAGCAATTGCTGCTATCCAAAACTCAGTAGATTCAGTTTACTAGTTATTCTAATTTATGTGTCTGTGGGGCAGAGGGGAGTCAGCGCTCTTCTGGCTGGTTTCGGCTGGGGCAGATCATCTGGGATAACTCTACTTCACATTGTCTCTCATCCTCTCTTTCCACAAGCTGCCTAGCCTGGTCACTTCTTTGCCACAGCTCTGGCAGATGCAGGAGAAAGAAAGCAGAAACATGTAAGGTCTATTGAGGACTATACCCAGAACTGGCACACTGTCTCTTCCAGCCAATTCTATTAGCTAAAGCAAGTCTCAAAGTCAAACCCAGAAGCGAGGGATTGGGAAATTGTGATATGGTAATTTATAATAAGAGGCATATACTTAGTCTTCATCCCAGTTCCTGGCACAGGCTTCTAAAACCCTTGGAATTTTCCAAGTGATAAAGGTGAAAGGACCATTTTTTGTTATTCATAGCAAGCCCCTTCAACCACACCTGAGTTTATGTTAATGAAGTGACTTTTGGAAAGTCCCTAAGGGTGGGGACTGGTTGCTAGGGGAACCATCCAGGTGATTAGAGGGCTAGAAATCTCAGCCTCACCCTCCTACACCTTCCTCCAGGGAGGGAAAAAGGACTAGAGATTCACTTGATCATCAATGGCTGATGGCTTAATCAATTATACCTATGTAATGAAGCCTCCATAAAAACCTAAAAGAATGCGGTTTAGAGAGCTTTCAGGCTGGTGAACACATTGAGGTACAACAGGGTGGCAAGCCTGGAGAGGCTGTGGAAGCTGTGCCCCTTCCCATTGACTTTGCCCTATCCATCTCTTCCGTCTGGCTATTCTAGAGTTGCATCCTTCTACAATAAATTCTAATCTACCAAGTAAACTGTTTTCTTGAGTTCTGTGAGCTCTTCTAGCAAATGACCTAACCCGAGGAAGGGACAATGGGAATCTCTACAGTGGGTTACTCAGAAGTGACAACCTGGACTTAACGATTGACGTCAGACAAGGGGCCTTTCTAGTGGGACCTAACCTGTGGATCTAATGCTGTCTCCAGGTAGACAGTGTCAACATTTAATTAAATTAAAGAACACTCTGCTGGTATCAAAAATTGGTCTGTGTAGAAAAAAATCCACACATCTGGTGTCAGAAATGATGTATTGAGAGTGTTATGAGAGTATAAAAAGAGATTTTCCTACTCAGAAACATAATCTGCTACTTTTGTGAGGAGAACTGCAAAGCTTCAAGGCAAAGAATGGAAAAAGTAAAGAATCGAGGCCAATAACATAGTTTACCATGGCATCTGTTAAGGGTATTGATGGTACTGTGGGATTTTTTTCTTTCCAATTAGTTTACGTATTGTAGATATGTCATATTGCTAGAATAAGACAGATGTGAGAATTTATTTTCTCCCTTAAAAATTTTTTTTCGTGGACATATGTACTGAGAAACATTTACATAAATAATAGTTGGGGCGAACGTAATATTAGTATTGAAATATCCATCTATTCTTTCTTTTTCTTGTTTTTTGAGACAGCGTCCTGCTCTGTCACCCTAGCTCAGGTAATCCTCCCACCTCAGCCTCCTGAGTAGCTGGGACTACAGGCACGTGCCACCACATCTGGCTAATTTTTAAATTATCTGTAGAGATAAGGTCTCCTCATATTGCACCGGCTGGTCTTAAACTCCTGGGCTCAAGCAATCTGCCTGCCTCAGCCTCTCCAAAATGTTGGGATATAGGCATGAGCATGCAGCCAATCCATTATTTGAATTGTTTCCAAGTTAACTGCAAACTCCTGTAGTGATCAATCATCCAAATTATTTTAAATAATCTATCTCTATATATTGATAGCAAAGAATTAGAAGTCACCTGGCTTTCAAAAGGATTTGCCTAACAGTCATTAGAGTATTCACCTTCTCAACACTGTAATATTTCTAGTGTCCCTTTATTTTGAATCTGAGAAATTTCTACATGGTGAGATCATCAATCATATAAAGATCCTAAATAGATAAGCAGAAAGCCTTTCTATGTAAAATGGGAGAAAAAAATGGTTATGAATGGGGCAGTGAAAAAGAATCGTCCTCGTGCTTTCAATCATAAGTGCTTCCTTAAGCATATAAATTTTAGAAAGCGTGCACCTGAAAAATTCTTGCCATAATTATCTGGGCATGAAACTCCACTGTTTATAAGCTTTAATTGCTATGTTCACATTATCCTAGAGATAGAATAAATATTGGGAATTTCATCAAGCACTTTCATCTATAATCAGGCAAACAAACACAAATAATGCTACATATGCAAAACAAAAACAAAAAAAGAAACACTTCTTGGGTTTTCGAGCAAGATCACAACTTATTAAGGTTTTTAGGTGATTACTCCTACCCAAAAAAATTTCTTCATTTGCAACAAAAGCCAAATGTTTAGACCTTTCCTCTTCCAAATATAATAGTGCAAACCACTATAGCAGCCCCCACTTATCTGCAGTTTTGCTTTCTGTGATTTCAATTCCCCAACTGCAGTTCAAAAATATTAAATGCAAAATTCCAAAAATAAATAATTCGTAAGTTTTAAATTATGCACCATTCTGAGTAAAGTGAAGAAATCTCATGCCGTCCTGCCTGGGAGGTAGATTATCCCTTTGTCCAGCAGATTCACACGATATGCACTATTCATCCATTAGTCACTCAATAGCCATCTTGGTTATCAGATTGATTGTCTTGCTATGGCAGTGCTGTGTTCAAGTAACCCTTATTTTAATTAATAAAGTGCAAGAGTAGTGATGCTGACAACTTGGATATACCAAAAGAAACCCAAACATATGTCAAAGAGAAGTTGTTAGTCTCTTACTGTTTCTAATTTATAAATTAAACTTTATCATAGATATGCTCACTTAGGAAAAACATAATATATATAGGGTTCGGTATCTGTGGTTTCAGGTATCCACTCGAGGGTCTTGGAACTTATCCCCATGGATAAGGGAGGACTACATTATTTAATTATCAATTCAAAATGCTTCAAAGAGAAATACAGTCAAAGAGAAACATGCTTGTAGTAACTTTAATAGTAAAAGAGACACAGTAGGACAAAGTGTGCCTTACAACAAAATCCCCTGATACTGAAAAGCACGTTTCACTTAATGATGACTTAATAGCAGGAAGAAGCACCAGAAACTGATGACAATCCCAGGTCACTGATATTATGAAAATACAGTTGACTCAAACAACACAGAGGTCACCGATCCCCGGACAGTTGAAAATCTGTGTATAGCTTTTGACTCCCCCAAAACTTACGTACTAATAGCTTAGTGTTGACTGGAAGCCTTACTGATAACATAAACAGTTGATTATCACATATTTTGTATGTTATATGTAGTATATGTTCTATTTTTACAATAAAGTAAGTTAGAGAAAATAAAATGCTATTAAGAAAATTATAAGGAAAACATATTTACTATTCATTAAGTGCAAATGGATTGTCATCTTCATCCTCATCATCTTCATGCTGAGTAGCCCGAGGAGGGATGGTCTTGCTGTCTTGGGAGTGGCAGAGGCAGAAGAAAACCTGTGTATACACGGACCTATATGTCCGGACATGGTAGCTCACACCTGTAATCCCAGCACTTTGGGAAGCCAAGGCTGGTGGATCACCTGAGATCAGGAGTTCAAGACCAGCCTGGCCAACATGGTGAAACCCTGTCTATACTAAAAATACAAAAAAAATTAACCAGGTGTGGTGACGGGAGCAGGTAGTCCCAGCTACTCAGGAGGCTGAGGCAGGAGAATCGCTTGAACCCGGGAGGCAGGGGTTGCAGTGAGCCGAGATCGCGCCACTGCACTCCAGCCTGGGCAACAAGAGCGGAACTCCATCTCAAAATAAATAAATAAATAAAATAAAAAAATAAACCCATAAAGTTCAAACCCATGTTGTTCACAGATATCAAGGGGCAGCTGTGCTCTATACAAGTGCTGGGTAAGCTCCTTCATTGTAACCTGCCATTTCGTAACTTTGAAAATTTTGAAAGTATAAATGAATATATTTAATTGATTTTGCATAAGACAGTAGGTCATCACAACCACATACACAAAATAAAGCTTTATATTTTTCTCTTCTAAGCTTCCAAGGTAAGCTAAGAGAAGCAGTCCCTTTTCTGCAGGAAAATGTGGCTTACCGTTATAGAGACTACTCATTGCAAAATTAATATACGAAAGAAAGAAATATTTTCTTCCGGATGATTTCTACAGAGGGACCAGAATCCCTTAAAGAGATGTTGAAAATGGAGGCAGGGCGCGGTGTCTCATGCCTGTAATCCCAGCACTTTGGGAGGCCGAGGCGGGCAGATCACCTGAGGTCGGGAGTTCGAGACCAGCCTGGCCAATATGGAGAAACCCCATCTCTACTAAAAATACAAAATTAGCCGGGTGTGGTGCCACACACCTGTAATCCCAGCTACTCGGGAGGCTGAGGGAGGAGAATTGCTTGAACCCAGAGGCAGAAGTTGCAGTGAGCTGAGATCATGCCATTGCACTCCAGCCTGGGCAACAAGAGTGAAACTCCGTTTCAAAAAAAAGAAAAAGAAAATGGAAAGCAGACATGTTAAGCAAGGTTGTCCATTTACAGGCTCAGGAAGAAGCTGAAAATGGCTGTGGGAAAGTAGCGACAGTGATTCATACAAATCTTGAACTTGGCTTTTTGGGAAAACGAATATATTCTGCTCTGTGTTTACAGCATCTAATCCCAATCACCTCTGCAAGAAAGCCTGTAATGAAAGCCGATTACCTCACAACATGCCACTAGAAAGAATGATCCATCTAATTTCCATTATTTACTGAGTTACAAGGGTTACCATGGTTCAGGAAGCCTCATTACAAGCGATGCTAAATATGCAGAGTGTGAATGTAGATTACATAAAGGCACCAGGGACATGGCTGTATAAAATCCAATGGTTCCTTGTTTTATAGCAACAAACGTTTGCTTCAATGGTGAATATAGCAAGAGAGAGAAAAAAGCTTCAAGAAAACATAATTAAGCTGCACTCTATATGAAATTTTATAAGCTACCCAAAACAATTAAGAAGTAGTTTATGACACTCAAACAAAAACAAAAAGGTATTTCAGAGAGCTTGCCATAGCAAAAGGACTGTAAATAAAACAAGTCTCACAAATTTTGTTCCTCATCTTTATAACTTGGTTAAATTATTTCATTATTTCCAAGACACAGACAGAAGGAATAACAACAATTGTAGTCTCAATAATTTTTGTTCCCTTTTGCTTTGCTTTGTTTTATTTTTTTTTTTAGGTACAATGTTTTTCTTGAATTAACTTTTTCATATTTTACATTTCAACTTTTTATTTTAATGCATATATATTTGTATATATATATATATATGCATGTATATGCAAACATGTATTTGTGTATTCATACACTAGTTTTATCAAACTCAGGAGACTTAACATTAATGTAATATTATACTACACACAGCTGATTTTCAGTTTTCACCAATTATCCCGATAACATCCTTTATGAAATTTTTTGTGTCAATCCAAGATCATGCTTTGCATTTACTTGTCAGGTCTCTTTAGTCTCTCTTGACCCGAAATGATTCCTCCATCTTTCTTTCTTTTTCTTTCATGACATTGACCCTTATGAAGATTACAGGCCAGTTGTTTTGTAAAATGTCCCTCGATGTGAATTTGTCTGATGTTTCCTTAACTGTATGTTCATTTTACGTATTTTAGGCAGGAATGGTATATCATTCGTGCATCACAACAGGAGGATCAGCTGTTTGTCCCATTATTAGCTATGTTAACTATGAATACTTGGTTAAGGTGGCATCTGCCATGTTTCTCTACTGGAAAATCACTGTTTCAATTTTTGTAATTGGTTTGTGAGCTGTAGAAAGAGACTTTGGGATAATACAATATACTGTTCTTATTCAGATTTTCATTCTATAGTTTTAGCAAACATTGATGATACTTGCTTGAAATAATTATTACTCTGTAGGTTGAAAAATCATTTTAATATCTTTTGAAAAAACTATATTAGTAGAAACTAAGAAAAGAGTTTTGGGTTGTGTCATTTCTCACTTTTATGCCTTTAGATATGTATTAAGAGATACTTGGGCAATTTGATCAAACATAAAATTTAATTGACTTTTTGAGAAATAGAGAAATATTTCTTTCCCATTCATGTATCTTTGAGTGAAAAGCCTTTCCTCTTGTAAGAGTACCTTAATGTGTGTCTAAGTATATGTGTGTGTGTGTGTGTGTGTGCAGCAGTTATTATTCAAATTTCTTCTATTCAGAGAAGGTTCTGGGGCATGATATAAACCATGTATCAGTGTGTTTTTCCTAATATAATTATTGTTCTTGACATGCAATTGTAGGATTTTTTTTTTCTTTTCTTAACGAAGGGATTGGTGGATGGGTGTCCAAGGCATCTTTTAATATCAGATGCTCTGGGGACCTTGATAATCTAGTACCAATGCAGAAACTTGAAAACTATTCCATAAACTGGAGCAATCGAGCCTGTAGGAACTAACTGTGCGCCTTCCTTAAAATGGATGCTTACTAGACCATGTTAAATGTGCAACTGACTGAGCCTCATTAAATATGTAATGGGCTGTTAGAAGATAAAGCTTTCTAGCAACATACTTGAGAGTCATTATGCATTTAATATATGAAAATCAAGATTGAAAAAAATCTAAAACTTGAAAAGATATATTTTACCTTCTCTGAGGTAATGGAAAAAAGATGGGCTCTTTCTTGTATGGTTCCTAAATTATATCTTGATCAGAAGAAAAAGGAAACCAAAATATAAAATGGGAACTTTAATGCAATAGAAGCTGACCAAGAAACATCATGTGGCCTTAGTGTCAGTTGTGTTTTCAACTCACTGATAACAACGAAATGAGTATGTCCTCATAAGGAGGCCTGTAGCATCAGAAGAGTGTTTGATACTGAGCACTCAGAACAAGCAGACTCTAACAGGTCAAAGAAGCAAGAGGCTTACTGAATACACACAGCATTTTGAACTACTGACAGGCAATCTTGGAAAAAATCCATGGCTTAATTCAGTTGTGAAAAAAACAACTGGCCGGGCGTGGTAATCCCAGCACTTTCGGGGGCCAAGGCGGGCGGATCACGAGGTCAAGAGATCAAGACCATCCTGGCTAACACGGTGAAACCCCGTCTCTACTAAAAATACAAAAAAAAAATTGCCGGGCATGGTGGCGGGCGCCTGTAGTCCCAGCTACTCGGGAGGCTGAGGCAGGGAAATGGCGTGAACCCAGGAGGCGGAGCTTGCTGTGAGCCGAGATCGCGCCACTGCACTCCAGCCTGGGCAACAGAGCGAGACTCCATCTCAAAAAAAAAGAAAGAAAAAAACTGAAATTGTTTTAGTAGAAGTGTTTATTATCTATTGCCCTGTGAATTTAATGAATTATTCATCAACATGGAAAGTGCTGGAAACTGCATATTTGACTAGTATAATGGAATTATCACTGAACTTGAAGTCAGAAGTCTTGGGTTTGAGTTTCAGCTTCTTTACTTAATTAGGAATATCCCTTAAGCAGTTAATTTAATCTTTCTGAGCCAACTCTGCCCATAAATAATGTGGTGGATGGACTGAAATGCTTCTGAAACATTAAAATACTAAATGAATTATGTTAAAAGTCCATGTAGAAGATATATAAAATGCTGTGCAACTTTATTTAACAATTTAAATTTCCTTAATGAGTAATTTATGGATATGAGAAAAGATCAAACTGATTACCCTAATATTTGAAATTCACTAGATATGCCAAAGTGTTTTAGGTTGGGCTTCAGTGTCAAATGATATCTATCTAGCAGCTCTTCTTATTCCTATCCATGAATTCACAGAATGAGATGAAGAGGCAAAACAAGAATTTAAGCTTTATAAAGGCAGGCTTATTTTATCTGTGTTCCCAGTGCCTAAAATAGCACCTAGTATGTAGGAAAAATTCCATAAACATTTGATGAAAGAATAAGTTAACTGACCAGGACTAAGAGTCATATTGTTGCCAGAATCTGAAAAGAATTACAACTGGCAGTTGGGTGGGGAGACAATTACTGACCCCTGCACAATATACACTCAAACAATGAAAATCTGCTGCCTTGAAAGAAAAAGAAAATGCTTTGTCTTTACCCCTCTATCTGCCACTGGCACAGAAATACAAGGCATTTATAATACCCAGCCAGAAATCAAGGCATATACCTCTCACCAGACAGAGTGCAGAAACCTATGTGTTGGTCTCCCTGCATCCTCAGTAAGTCTATCTCTTTCTATGTAAAATTAGTGACTACAATTCCTAGAAAAGAACTGGGCAAGAATTATAGAGGAGAAATGTTTGTAGAACTCTGGGAGATGTAGTCTCCTTAAATAAAATTATATGTATGTATGGAGTCAAGATGAGCCCAATACTACTCCATGTGGGAAATTACGGATTTTCCCGTAATTCTGATGTTTTAGCATCTCAGACAACCAAACAGTAGAGACAAAAGAAGATACCAACTCAAATCTAGGGTCAGTTTCACTGTAATCCAAATTTCACATTTGGGAGTGGTCACATAATTTACCATCAAGAATGCAGGGCCCATAGGCAGTCAGTGAGAGCTCTAATCAGGAACTGTTACTCTTTGCTAATTAGCATATTGGATCTCAGAAATGGGTTTTTATTGGTGGAAATAATGGCCTGTGGATTAGCATGTAGCATGATGAAACTCTCAATGATGAAATTTAAAATACCTGAAGTATGTAGTTTTGGGTTTTTTGGGTTGTTTGTTTGTTTGTTTTACAGAGACACTCACTCCTCCTAATATGCATGACAAAGTAGAAGAACGCTGAAAGGCCAGAAGTCTTGCCTTTAGGGATAATGCCTTGGACTAAATCTCTACCCCCTCCTACCTCCAGAAGTGAACTCTTGAGGGATCTAAGTAGTGCCCCATCAAGCCATACTGGAATCTGAGTTCAGCAAAGAAAAGAAGTGTGCCCCTATATATATTTACAAAAATATTCTCCCGTATTTTGAACTAAGTGAAAAAAGTTAATAACATCTCTACAATGAAAGAACATGGCTATATATAAATCTCCACATTATCCTCTGTGTTGCCCAAGGGGATTGCATGCCATTGTCAACCCCTATAAAGCCATCTGGCAGCCCCAGAACCATTGGTTACTTGGATATAACTTTTCTTGTTGCACAGTAACCCAGAGACATAAAACAAACAACAGCCTCCCATTATGTAACATTTTGATATTTTCTTTATGATTTTTGTTTTGTATTTTTTTTTCAATCCTGCCTTAAAATACACTCCTGGTGGGGTGCAGTGGCTCATGCCTGTAATCCCAGAACTTTGGGAGGCTGAGGCAGGTGGATCACTTGAGGCCAGGAGTTTGAGACCAGTCTTGGCAATATGGTGAAACCCTGTCTCTACCAAAAATACAAAAATTAGCCAGTCTCATAACCCGGTCTCTAAATAAATAAATTCTTTTTTAAAAAAGAATTATTTTTAGAAATATTACTACTCCTGATTACTGAGTTTTTGGCACTTACTTAAATTTTGCACCTGTGATATGTGCCTCACTACCCTGATTCTGAGCATCTGAGAGTCTACAAAGCTGAAATGTCTTGTCTCTAGAATTTTGCCATTTGGTTCTAGCAAATCTTTCATTCAGGTTAGTGCTCAAAGCACTTCATGGCTGGAGAACTGGAGCTATCTAGAAACTATAAAATGAGTTGTACAAAATATTTGTTTCAATTTTTGTTTTATATGTTCTCTTACTAATCAATATTTAGTTAATAAATGTCTGTATATGTGGTATAATTCAGCTGAAGTTTGCTTTCACTTTTACTTGAAACCCAAGAATTTTGGGATGGCTACCATTTCTACCAAAAAGAAAGAGTAAGTTGATTTAGGTCAACCACAACCACCAGGTAGACAATGACTGGAATGGGGAATAAGGTATATTTTATTTTATTTATTTTATTTAACTACATTTTGTAGCACTTAGTATGTGCCAGACATTGTTACGCTTTTAAACAATTAACTCTAATCATCACAACACCACTCTATGTGAAGTACTATTACTATTTCTACTTCACAAATGGAAAACACTCTTTTGTTTCTCTTGGTAAAATACAGAAATAGGCGTACATCATTTGAAGCTGGCTGACAGAAAAGGTCCGCCATGAATATTATAGAAAACTAACAACAAAAGGAAAGAAAACACTGCCTTAAGACTCACAGGGGTACTATATTTCTAAAATAATTCATCATGAGAACCAAAACTAAATTAAAGAAACTTATTAAAATCCTCAATTGAATGCAGAAAACTGCAAATCAAAACTACAAAACACCACAACTACAAAGAACTGAGCAAAATGTGCCAGCTCAATCAACATAATTTCTCTACTATATATTCTTTTTATTTGTCTACATATGTATTTATCTTCCCTTTTGTTTCATATTTTAATTATCTTTGTACTCCCTACCTAGCTCAGGCCCTGCACATAACAGGCTCCAAGAAAATGCTTGATGAATAAATGTATGAGCCCACTCCTCCTTTTTACAAAAACAGTTGTTGAACATATGAGTAACTTAAATAAACACATTTGTAGCCTCTGAACAAAGGAACCACCAATTTAATTATCTGTGGCTTACAGACACCCATTGAAGAATATAAATAGGAATCTTAAATGTGCACTTATTGAAGTAATCTTGTTTTGCTTCCAAAGCACAAAGATTTCAAATGAAAGATTTTGGTTCTTTCTGGTGAAACAAACATATTGATTAAAATATAAATAATTAGTAAATGGTATTTGGAATTTTTAAAGTCATTTTTTATATTCAAAGGATTTAATATTTATATATTCTAAGATAATTACTACCAACCCTTCCCAAACAAAAGATTATAAAAAACTACATAAATTTCAGCTAAAGATTCTAGCTAGATTTGAAGGGAAATTGTGATTAATGAATTTTCAGGTGAATAGAAACTAACTCCTATTGTTGCTATGGTTCTTTGACACCACTTGGCAGCGATTTAAGGGCTTAACAGGAAAGAAGACAAATGAACACTATAGCAAAATGCTCCACATAACACTAGTCATTGTTCCAAGCACAATTCCATTTGCAGTCTGAGTGATCTGAGAATAAATGCTTTGAAGCACATCCATAAAAAGGGATTTTGTAAGTATCAGACAGGTACCTCAACACTGATCAGCGAAATAATAAAATCTGCCAATGAAAGTAATTAGAAAATAGATTTTTCTTCTATGTTATGATAATCATTTCCATGTTTATATAATTACATGGTTTTAGACAAAGTAGTTATTTTAGTAACTTTTCATCATTCTTCCCAAATATTTAAAACTCAAGTGGACATCTTTGTAATACAGTTGACAGTATTTCCAGCATTTTTGTTTTGTGCCTTGACAATCACAGCCCCTATTAATTAGTGCTCTGGGAATGAAGTCCATTACACTGAAGGTGACCCTGTAAGAAGACATTAATTATTAAATCATTTTTATTATGTGTGGTGTGGTTCAAAGACAATCAGTGTTATTTCGAAGCTGTACACAAGCAGACACACAGACACACAGACACACACATGCACAGATGTTGCACTAGAGCAAGCTCTACCTGAGCAGGAATCTTTGTCTATTATGCTCAGTGCTGTAACACTAACACCTCCTTTGAGCATCTAACAATATTAAAAATAGTCTTAATATTTCTAACTTCTCATAATGCTAACTATGTCCAGAAACTGGAATGTGCACTATATATTTTTATTTAACCACCACTGCAAAGTTGTAAATTAGGTGATATTATAATCCTCATTTATTTGATGAGACAGATTGAATTACAGATAGGTAAATAACTTGGCTGCAATTGAAAAAATTGGAGGAGCTGGGATCAGTCTCATATGCCTCTAACTAGAAGTTCTGGCCATGATAGCTTTATTATATCACCTCCAAATGACCTCCTAGTCACTAAGTCTTCATCACTATCAGAACATGAGATAATATTTTGTATTTTCTTTTCTAATAACTCACTACCCCATCTTTCTCGTTACAGTTCACTTTCCCCAACCCTCCAATGCCAGAATCCATCCTCTCTGTGTGAACTGGAACGAGGTGCACTCAGTCACGTAGGATGGTGACTAATCAACTCATTACACTTTAGAGTAAATGATTTTCAATAAATTGCCTCATCCAAACATTTCTATCTTAAACCATTCATCTCTGCTGCTCAAAGTTTAATCTGTTTCTAAAGGAACTTAGACATCTGCAAGTAGTTGAGGAAAACATTTCTGAAAATAAGAATAATGTCATTCATCCAACACATTTTATTATAAAGTTTACCGTTACAGAATGAAATTTGCCCCCTTGAAAATTCATATGCTGAGGCCCTGACCCACAATGTGACTCCATTTACAGATAGGGTCTTTAAAGAAGTAATTAAGGTTAAATGAGGCTATAACAGCGGGCCCCTAATTTGATAGGGCTGGTGTCCTTATAAGAAGAGAAAAAGACAAGAGCTCACTCACTTCTGGGCTTACGTGCTCTCTCTCTGAGAACACACAGAGGAAAGGCTATGTGGGGACACCAAGAGAAGACAGCTGTCTGCAATCCAAGAGGAGAGGCCCCACCAGAAACTGACCCTGCTGGCACCTAGATCTTGGCATGTCCAGAACTGTGAGAAATTTGTCTTGTTTAAACCACCCAGTCCATGGCATTTTATTGTGGTGCCAGGCAGACTAATACACTTCCTTACCTATTTGTCAAGCACTGTGTTAGACAGTAGGGATACAAAATCGAGTAAAGCAGAGCCCTTATTTGCTCAGAATTAATGGCGGTGAGGAAGATAGAGAAGAGGAGGTGTGATCAGTGGCACTACTGATTGTAAGTAAAGTGCTACGATGGCCTCGAGAAGAAAAGATTAATTCTACCTAAAAACGTTAGATAAGTCTTAACAATAGAGGTAAATTTTATGTTGGGTCTTCTAGAAAAAAATAGTAGTTTGGGAGAGGAAGAAATAAGGTAGTTTAGACTGGGAAAAGGAATAATATGAGAAAAGGTAAAGATATGGGTATTGCATTTGTGTTTAGAAACTGACAATCTGTTTCAATTAATTAGAATATGGGTGGTGATGGGAGATGAAGGAATCTGCATTGAAAAAGAAAAAAAAAGCTACAGAAACCAATAGAGCCATATCATTCCCTGGTCTTGTATGAAAAGGAGTCCTCCAGGCCTACAAGGCAATGGTCAGGGGATATTCACAGCCATCTTCCTGAATCATTCGTTCTTAAAAGTTTGGGGACACCAAACTTTCAAAAGGAAATGCATTATATATAGAACAGCATGCAAAGGATCTGGAGTTTTACAATAAAAGATAAAAAGTTTATACTGATTTAAATTTTTTAAATTAAAGAACTAATACATATTATAGAAAGAAATTCATTCTATTAATGAGTAAGGATGCTGAATCATGCTGACTTTTAATAAGGATAATTTTGTATAATAGAAACTTTAGGTATATCTTAGAAAATCGAAGTCATAGAATAGATATGATCCTTATCTTTTCATTATTTTGTCCAGTGTTCCATGGAGTGATTACCCACATTATGCTAATTGATATAATTGCTCCAAGGAGAACTAATCGAAGTAGGGGACTCTAAATGAGAGGGGAACCCATTTTCCACCAAAAAAATTAGATAGCTCATCAATAATTTAATTAAAACTATTTCTAGCAAGGTGTGGTGGTATGCACCTGTAGTCCCAGCTACTCAGCAGGCTGAGGTGGGAGGATCACTTGAGTCCAGGAGTTCAAGAGAACCCCATCTCTTTCTCGCTATATATAAAATTTAATAACATATAATTATATATTATTAGTATAATATAAAATAATACATGCATTAATACATATAAACCCCCTTATATATTATATTTTATATATATAAAACTCCCCCATATATAAATATATTTTATATATAGAAAAATATATAAATACATTTGTATATGCAGAGATATATCAATATATAATATACATTATATATATGTAGAGAGAGAGAAAGAGAGGTTCCATATATAAATATATACACACACATATATATAGAGAGAAAAAGGGGAGTTATATCTATAAAATATATATGTTTATATATATAAAACCTTTCACTATATATAATTTATATATATAAAACTTCTCTCTACATATACACATATATTTATACAGAGAGAGCCTCTATATAATATATAAATATGTATATATAAATATAATATATAAATATTTATATAAAATTATATTATATATATATTTTTATATATAAATATATATTATATTAATATATAAATATTATATATAAATATATAAAGATATAAATATATAAATATTTAGATATAAATATAAAAATATATATAATATATAAATATGTATATATCAATATAATATATAGATATATAAATATGTATATATCAATATAATATATAAATATATATCAATATAATATATAAATATATATAAACATCTATAGAGAGAGGCTCTATATAAATATATAATAATTATATCATATAATATATGATATCTATTTATATAATATGTAATATAAGATATATTTATATAATATATAATATATGATATCTATTTATATAATATGTAATATAAGATATATTTATATAATATATAATATATGATATCTATTTATATATAATATATGATATCTATTTGTATAATATATGATATATTTATATAACATGCATATTTTATATAAATATATAATATATTCTATTTACATTTATAATAAATATATAATACATATGTATAATTTCAGGTCCTTTGCATATCTAGCTATCTCTCTCTCTCTCTATATATATATATATACACACACCCACACACACAGAGAGAGGTTTCATTCATATATATAAAACGCTTGTACACTGTTGATGGGAATGTAAATTAGTACAGCCACTATGGAGAACGGTATTGAGGTTTCTAAAAAAAAAAAAAAAACCTACAAATAGAACTACCATATGATCCAGCAATCCCACTGCTAGGTATTTACCCAAAAGAAAGCAAATTGATGCATCAAAGAGATATCTGTACTCCCATGTTTATTACAGCACTATTCACGGTAGCCAAGATAAGAAATCAAACTGTTTCTCAGTGGATGAATGGATAAAGAAAACGTGGTACATATAAACAATGGAATATTATTCAAACATAAAAATATGAAACCTTGTGATTCGCAACAACATAGATGAAAGTGGAGGACATTATGTTAAGTGAAACAAGTCAGGCAGAGAAAGACAAATACAGCATGTTCCCACTCATATGTGAGAGCTAAAAAAATTGGAATTCGTGGAGGTGGGGAGTAGAATGATGGTTACCAGAGGCTGGGAAGTGTAGTTGGTGGGGTGGGACAGAATGAAGAGGGTACAAAATTTTGTACCCATTTTGTTTATGGGTACAAAAATACAGTTGGATAGAAGAAATGAGATCTAGTGTTTGGTAGCAAAATAGGGCAACTATAGTTGATAATAGTTTGTTGTGTATTTCCGAATAACTAAAAGAGTAGAAGTGGAATGTTCCTAACACAAAGAAATAATACCTGCTTAAGGTGATGGGTATCCCAGTTACCCTGATCTGATCATTACACATTGTCTGCTTGCATTACACTATCACATGTACTCTATAACTGTTATGTATCCATAATAATTAAAATTAAAACAAATTTTAAAAACACAAACATCTTATCTGTCCTTTCCTTTATCTCCTCAGCATTTGTCTAGCGTGGTTTAGGCAGTACCAGAAGGGATGGGGCAGACGGTACACTTCTATAAAGTAAGTCATGTTTATCTGTAACAATTTTTTTTTTCTGCTTTTTTGAGAGGGAGTCTCTCTCTTGTCACCCAGGCTGGAGTGGAGTGGCAAAATCTCGGCTCACTGCAGCCTCCTCCTCCCGGGTTCAAGCAATTCTCCTGCCTCAGCCTCCTGAGTAGCTGTTATTACAGATGCCCGCCACCATGCCCAGCTAATTCTTGTATTTTTAGTAGAGACAGGATTTCACCACGTAGGCCAGGCTAGTCTCAAACTCCTGACCTCAGGTGATCCACCCACCTCGGCCTCCCAAAGTGCTGGGATTACAGGTGTGAGCCATCGTGCTCGGCACAAATTTTAAATATTGTAGAAACAATCATAGTAGACTGAGGCTGGGTTGGTTAGGCTTCTTTTATAAGATAGTGATTTATTTTTTAAAAGAAACTTTTAAAAGAAAGCCTCCCACTTAGAGATAATTAGAATAGCAAAGCATTTAAAGAACTAGAAAGATTCTTGGGTAGTCTGGGTTAGCTGTAACACACAATAAGACCCTCAGTCTTTCACTCTGCCCTTCACACTCTCCCCAGGAATCCTTCTAGTAATCTTAACTCCCTCATGATACCACTATCTACCAGTTGCTCCAGCAAAAAATCCAACAGTCAAACTTTATTTCTCTCTGTATTTCATTTTGTACATCTATGTCAGCAACAGATCCCACTGCTTCTAATTCCAAAATATATCATAAACCGAACTATCTGTCTCCACTGCCACCTCCTCAGCCCAACTACAATCTGCTCTCAGCTAGATTTCATTAAACTCTCCAATGTCTCCAAGCTTTCCCAACAAATCGTTCTCCCTACAAGAGTGAAATTAATCATTTTTAAAGGATGGACCTCTGTTTACCCTTAAAACAAATGATTATATAATACTGAATACACATATTTAAGAAAAATAGAGCAGACATCTATATAGCTACTACACATTTAAATCTCCTTATGTGTCTCTTCCCAATTAACTATGCTGTTCATCATCTTCCAACTAACCTGTACTTGATATTTATTTTACTAACATACTTCTTTTGGTTGTCTAAATCTATCTCTAAGCAATATATATTATTTTTGCATTTTTAAAGTTTGGTGTAAATGATATTTTATTGTATTTATTCTTTGGCAATTTGTTTTTATCTCATTATTATGCTTGTGACATTTATTCTCGTTCATTTTTGCTTCTGTATAATATTCCACGTTCTGAATAAACAATACTTCACTGATCCATTTTCCTGTTGATGTAGGTTTATATGTTTTGTTGTTGTTATTATTGTTATTACAAACAGTGCTAACCCAGGTATTTTATACATGATTATTACTGCATATTTTTGAAAGCTTACACTTTAGTATATCCCTAGCATGAAATTGCTAAGCAATAGCAAGTTTAATCCTCAACTCAACATTGTAGAACTGACCTAATGTAGCTATTTGCACTTATTTGGTTATTTTGAAATTTATAGGTAGCTCCAATAGCAAGAGGAAAGTGAAGGTTATTCCCTTCTTCCCTTATAATTTTGTTATCTGATGAGTTTAACAATGAAAGCAAGTCTCATAGATTTTATTCAGCAGGCAGGTCCAGAAATAGTCAAATTACCTATACTATTAGCCTAATGAAGTTCCAGCTTTCTCCTTTTGGCATAAAGCTCATTGCCTAAAAGTGTCACTCCAGACAGATGTGACAAGGATTCAGCTCATCTTCCAAGAATACAGAGAAACCGAATGCTCTGTTAGAGGTCTGTACACAAGTTCAAGTTGTGTCCTAGGCTAGGCACCACCAGAAGAGCAGCTGAGTTTATTAAGCAGATGCCTCTACTGCATATTAAGAAGTGGGGGTGCCTGCTCAATTTAACCAATCCGTTCATACTATGGGAGAGTATAGCCATTATGAATGGAAAAAATTTATTCAAATAGATATTTCTCTCTGTGTGACAGAGTGTATAAATAAGGTATAGTTTGCCCTTAAATCTTCCTACTCACCTAAAACAGTGCCTCATTTAAAGACTCTTTCCTATTCTCTTCACTTTTACTCCCCCAACTCCCCCCACTTTTTTTTTTTTTGAGAGGGAGTCTCCCTCTGTTGCCCAGGCTGGAGTGCAGTGGCAGGATCTTGGCTCACTGCAAACTCCGCCTCCTGGGTTCATGCCATTCTCCTGCCTCAGCCTCCCAAGTAGCTGGGACTACAGGCACCCGCCACCACGCCCAGGTGATTTTTTGTGTTTTTAGTAGAGATGAGGGTTCACCGTGTTAGCCAGGATGGTCTCGATCTCATGACCTCGTGATCTGCCCGCCTCAGCCTCCCAAAGTGCTGGGCTTACAAGTGTGAGCCACCGCTCCCGGCCCCCTTTTTTCCTACCAATATATGGTTAATGTTCATTCAAAACCATCTTCAAAGTAGCAGTGTCTATATCTAAACAGGATACAGTTTATGAATTTGCCAAAGCACCACCAATAAACAGAGGCAAATTAAGATAAGTTTTACTGTGGACATAATAAAATTCATAATTTATTTGAACATAATCTGAAATAAACCACAATAAATAATTGTAACATGCTCTGGTTTTACAATGGAAACATCAATTTAACTGTTGATAATGTCCCTAAATGTCACTCAGATTTTAAAATCATTTATATTTCAAGAGGAAAGTAAACTGAATACAAAAATGTGTAATTAAAAATGTAAAAACTCTAGAATAAAGTAGGATAGACCCTAAATATTCACTGCCCCAAACCCCCAACAGATGCAGAAATTTTCTCCACAATAACGCTGCAACCATTTCCAGTGCTCGGACTCATTTTCCAAGTCAGCTAAAACCATATCTGCTTTTCACTGTTTCTAAATTTTCCTACATGTTGCAAATTTGTTTTCTTAGAACCTCTGTCCGTAAGTATAAGAATAGATGAAGATTGTATATTTCTAACTAACTAAAATAGTATAATTGGATTGTTTGTAACACAAAGGATAAATGCTTGAGAGTATAGATACCCCATTTTTCATGTGATTATTACGCATTGCATGCCTGTATCAAAATATCTCATGTACCCCATAAATATATACACCTACTATGTACTCAGGAAAATTAAAAATTAAAAAAGTATGAATACACAATCTAGTCATCTGAAAATACCAACTTTAAATATTATTGCAGGCATGAAGTTTTCTAAATGATGTGACTACTTTATAACAAAATTTGCTTTGTTTCAGCATTCTCACTTTTAAAACATACTAATTTGTTTGTTGAAAACTAAAAAGTAAAAATTTTAAAAGAAAGTTTACCTAATGAATCATGATTGTTTCCTAGATATGATATCTTTGTTTTGTAATACTTATTTTATTAGCTCTCTGGAAATCAGGATAATTTGGTTTCATTATTATGCAATGTTACATCAAAAAGTCATTTTAATACATGAAGTCAAGCCAGTCACAAGGATGATGAGTTCCATTCTCCTCAATCTAAGGTTGCTCATTTTATGTCTTGACAAAGACTCTCTCTTTTGACCAAAACTTTAGTCAGGCTCCTCCAATTCCTCTGCTTGACTAGGCCAACATTGGGCTTCCTTTGTTCTTGCAGGATCCAGTTTGAGCAAGAATCCTGTTAAGTTGGCTTAGGGAGAATGCCCCACCCTTGGTATCTGACCGCCCTTGATATCCTATCACACTGGCCTGCCTTCGGCAATAATCCTATCAAGTTGGTATAGCCAGAAACGTCTTACCTTTGATGTTTTTCCTCCTGGTAATAGCCAGAAACCTCTTACCTTTGATGTTTTTCCTCCTGGTAATTTTCCATTCACTGATCCCCACTCTGCTCCTTGGTTATAAATCCCCACTCAGCCTTGTTGAAGTCAGAACTGAGTCCACTCTCTCTCCCTCACTGCAGGATTCCATTGCAGTGGTCCCTATACCTACCACTATGGCCTACCTTGGATAACATCTGCCTTAACATCTTTAACAAGTGTCATGATGAGCTTTTTTTCTTTAACAGTCTTCTCCACTATGCCAGTGTTGGGATATACAATCTTCTCTTCCTTTAAATCCCCCAGTCCCTCCCACTCTCCCTTCCATTTCTACTTTAATTCTCCTACTTAACCTGAAAGCAGAAAACAGCTTGAGCCATTGGAGTCCTAAAAACAATCCCATTAAATAAAAGGCTCATTTTTATCCTATCCTGGAATACTGTGACAAAGAAAATGCCACCACTGTAATCTAGGACGTTTCTTTGAAAAATATTCACAGCTTTCAATTCATTTCAACAATTATTTACTAGGTGCCAGGCACTGGACTAGGACCCAGGCCTTGTGCTAGTACTGCAGATACAATAAGTATGTGTGACATTCTCATCCTTAAAAGTTAGCAATGCCAAAGACTCAGAATGAAGAAAGCTAGGCAATACATGCCCTGTGATGTTTCAGCATGCTCCTAATGACCATGGTATTTTCCCAAGAGTAGATAGTGCATGTAAACAGTGGTAACATCTGTTTACATATGAGAGGTAAACAATTTGGACCTCAGTTAATACACAGATTTTAACTAAAAATTATCATGTTAAGAAAACTTCATCATATTTAGAGATAAAGAATTCGCTTTATTGTATAAATGACAATTTCAACAAGGGTACAAATTAGATATAATTATATAAACTGAATATTTACATCCAATTTACATCCATCATTCTATTAATGAGCACTTTAAATATATAATACAATTCAGAATGATAAAGATATCTACATTAAGGCATCAAAAAGAAAAAAAAAAAGAAAGCAAAGACAGGAAGTCTACTTGCCCACTCAGTAATTAACAAAGATTTATGTAAAATTCCCACAAATTGATCTCAGAATCAGAATCAGCATTTTCTATTAGCAAAAACTGTGAAATACTAGTAATTGTGCTTTATATAAAGCTGTTTGAGGCAATCTGCATAGGAAATATTATCAAGATTCATAATTGCACAAATCTGAAAGGCCTTACATGTCTTATCACATGTTACACTGCTGTCATAACTCACAAAGAAGTAATTGTAGTATTTTATAAACTGCTTACTGTCTAGGATTGTAAATTGTTTAGCTAATCCATATAAACTTTCCGGCTGCAAATCTTCAATGTCGTAGGTCTGGGTCAGGATATACTCCAGCTTCCAGATGGACTCTCCCTTTAGATTCGCCTCTGTCAGATTCAAGTAATACTGCAACATATCCTGCAGTTAAGAACAGTAACAAAACCTGGTTCACTTTTTGGCACATAAGGCATTGTACAACAAGAAGCGTTCATGTTTAAATTTCTGTGACATTTTAGGCTTGGCGCTGTGGCTCACGCCTGTAATCCTAGCACTTTGAGAGGCTGAGGCAGGTGGGTTACCTGAGGTCAGGAGTTTGAGACCAGCCTGACCAACATGGTGAAACCCCATCTCTACCAAAAATACAAAAAAGAAAAAAAAAATTAGCTGGGCATAGTGGTGGGTGCCTGTAATCCCAGCTACTCAGGAGGCTGGGGCAGAAGAATCGCTTGAACCCGGGAGGCGGAGGTTGCGGTGAGCCGGGATTGCGAGATTGCGCCACTGCACTCCAGCCTGGGTGACAGAGCAAGACTTTGTCTCAATAAATAAATAAGAAAGAAGGAGAGGGAGGGAGGGGGGAGGAGGGGGGGAAGGAAGGAAGGAAGGAAGGAAGGAAGGAAGGGAGGGAGGGAGGGAGGAAGGGAGGCTCAATAAAAAACCTGTATCACTTTTTCAATTTTAAAAATGATGAAAGAACATAATAGCATGTAATCCAAACTATAAAGAGAGGTGAACAAAATAAAAAACCTTCAATTCACACATCCTCAGAGGTAACCATCACTAATGGTTGTGTGTATCAGTGGTGTGCTGAAGGCAGCTCGTACCAGCTCACAAAAGCCGACTGTCAAATTTTTAAGAATGTTGCTAGTCAATCTGTGGCACTTTGGTAGCTTGAAATTGTCCATGATGTGAGTATTTCTGTCATGGAAATTGGCAAACACTACCAATTAAGGCACATTTCCCCTCAGTGAATAGTTGTTAAACATTTGTCAGTACTCCATTGTATGCGTGGTGATCTAGGCTTTAGATCAAAACAAAGATAAATATTTGGAATGTGCATACTTATTTACATTTTTGGCTTTTTCAAAAAAATGGAGTCTTACTATATATGTTGTTGTGTTTTAAGAAATTATTTAGAAATTATATAAGAAATTATTTTTATATTTTTAGAAATTATTTAGTGCTATATCAGGAGAATCTTCCTACATCAGTACATATGTACACACGTAAATATACATTGGAGTCTGAACCTCAGATGCTGTGTATTAGATACATAAACACATATATAGATGGATATATACGTGTGTGTGTGGATGTATATATCTGAGGTTCAGATCCAAAATTAGGCAACTGAAAGTTGTAGAAAAAATTCTTTTGGACTAATTTATCACACAATTGTTTCATTTTCCCATTTAATCAAATATTTATGAATAAAACCAGATTTCTGCCACCATACCTCCTCCCTGTTATTCTGGGGAATAACAGAACCATCTCCTATTTAAATTCATCCAGAAAAAAAAAAGCAGTTATACCAATAATGGCTTTAATTGAAGTGAATTATTTTCAAATTATGTTTGTAGAAAGGGGAAGTTACCCAAACTGAAGTACCCATAAGCTAAATGGCCAGTCTTTTGTGCTAAATTGTTCTAAAGCAAGGAGCCATGAAGCTGCTCCAAAGAACTTTTGTCCCAAATATCCAATTCAATTTTTTTCCCTTTATTTTATTTTATTTTGAGACGGAGTCTCGCTCTGTCGCCCAGGCTGGAGTGCAGTGGCGCAATCTCGGCTCACTGCAAGCTCTGCCTCCCAGGTTCACGCCATTCTCCTGCCTCAGCCTCCCGAGTAGCTGGGACTACAGGCACCCGCCGCCACGCCGAGCTAACTTTTTTGTATTTTTAGTGGAGACGGGGTTTCACCGTGTCAGCCAATATGGTCTCGATTTCCTGACCTCGTGATCCACCCAACTCGGCCTCCCAAAGTGCTGGGATTACAGGCGTGAGCTACCATTTTTTTCCTTTAAAAAAATTTTTTGGGTGTGCCCAGTGGCTCACATCTGTAATACCAGCAATTTGGAAGGCCAATGTGGGAGGATCACTTGAGCCCAAGAGTTCAAGACCAGCCTGGGCAACATAGGGAGACCCCCCCCCCCCATCTCTACAATAGGATTATAAAAATTAGCTGGGCTTGGTGGTACATGCCTGTAGTCCCGCCTACATGGGAAGCTGAGGTGGGAGGATCACTTGAGCCCAGGAGTTTGAGGCTGCTGTAAGCTATGATCGCACCACTACACTCCAGCCTGAGTAACAGAACAAGAACTTGAAAATAAAATCTTGTTTGTTAACATTTATTAAGCATTTAGTATGAGCCAAGCGTTTTTCTAAGTGCTTTACATAGATTTGTTCATGCAATCCTCATAGCAACTCAGTGAATTAAATAATATTTTAATTCCCATTTCATGGAGAAATAGACTGGGACACAGAAAAGTTTAGAAATAATGGCTCATGAGAGGGAATGGTAACAGAGCCTACACTCTTCTTGATACTTATATTCTGGAGAAGAAGAATGAACATGGCTTAGTGAAACATTTCAGTACGTATACAAGTCCACAAACATGGCACTAACCAATGAAAGCATCTAAATAAATGTGAAGTCCTTAGAAGAACAGAACAGAAACAGCCTTCCAAAGACTAACTTCATCAGCTCACACTTAGTAAGTCCTGATAACATTGCAAGTATAAAAAAGAAGAAGGATGCCAGGAGATTTCAACATAAAATACATCTCACATGACTGTCCTGAGAAAAATTCAACTAAATTAATGAAAACTGCAAAGATATGCATAAATATGGGGTCAGCTCTGAAATCTGCCAACTTACCAATAATTTATAATCACGAGGATCATACTGAAACAGTCTGATACCAGGATTGTTGGTCTGTTTTTCTAAAACACTCTTCACTGGTGTAACAGCAGGAGCCACAAACAAAGAATTTACTGGACTTCCTGAACAAAACGTATGCACATAAACATACATTTTTAAATAAGAGTTTAACTATATTAAAAATATAAAGTTTCCAGATTAAGAGATTAACAGACATAACCAAGTGATATGTGATCACTAATGGATACTGACTTGAAACAACTGTAAAGAGACAATTTGGAGAAAATAGGGACATTTTTGTTATTGATACCAGATAATTATTGTTGATTTTGTTAACTAAGTTTGTGGTTATGTAAATTATCCATATATTTTAGCAATGAATATAGAATATGTAGTGCCAAAATGGATCCAGTGTTTGAGATTCACTTTCAAATACTCCAGCAAAAAATTAAAAGAATATAAGGCCAGGTGCAGTGGCTCATGCCTGTAATCCCAGCACTTTGGGAGGCCGAGGCGGGCAGATCACTAGGTCAAGAGATCGAGACCTTCCTGGCCAACATGGTGAAATTAGCTGGGCGTGGTGACACACATGTAGTCCCAGCTACTCGGGAGGCTGAGGCAGGATAATCACTTGAACCAGGGAGGCAGAGGTTGCAGTGAGCCGAGATCGCAGGGTGCGCTCCAGCCTGGCAACAGAGCGAGGCTCCGTCTCAACAACAAAACAAAAAAACTGAAAAATCTTGATAGATGTTGAATGTGAGTGTTGAGTACATAGGAGGTTTGTTTGTATCATTCTCTCTGCTTATATATGTATCAATAAGAACTTGCAAGTAAGAGCTTAATATATTTTATTTTAAGCCGTTGTGTAAATTGTGCTTTGCTTTCTAAATTCTGAGAAATAAAACATGTAGCATCAAAAGAAACTTGAGTGTAGCAGTTAAAATAGAGTGATATTTCTTTAAACTCGAAGATTTAAAAGAACATTTGAGTGAGCTGAGGGTTTCTGAGGCTTTTGTGTTGACAGCAAATAAGTAACGCTGGCCCTGTGGAGCTAATAGGAGCTTACGTTGAAGAAATCCAGCTGCAGGCCTAATGTTGTGATTTGGACACTCATCATACAACCATTGAGGATAATTCAGAAAAGGCTAATGCTGGCAGATTTTTAAATAAAACGTTTAATTTACTAAATCAGCAAATTTACTGGATATTCACCGCTTTGCTCTAGACTCTTAGACTGGGGAGATGCAAACACAGCATTACATTACCTTTTTTATCTGAAAGAACCATAATGCTGTCTCTGTGAGTGTGTCCATAAAATTGTCCTGCAATGACATCACTGTATTTTTGAAAAATATCTATCAATTTCTCATTATAGTATTCTCTCATTGCTGTGATGTTCTGTGAAGATGGCAGATACCCCACTGGAACATGTGCTATGATATACACCTGGAAAAAGAAACACAAAAAGGCCTCATGAGAATCTTTCTGCACATTCATCATAACTAAATGACATTTGGATACCCAAGATTGAAAGTATATTAATTAAAATTTAGAAAGCAAATATATCATCTCTTCTATTTATAAGAAAAAGAGATGAAATTATAAAACTATTAGGGTCACTATATTTGTACACTGTTGATGATATAAGGCAACTGTGACTTCAGTCACAATTTTTTGAATTGGCCTCTTTTTATACCAATAGATGTCCACTAATCCTAAAAGCAGTAAAAGCAAAACAAAATAAAACTTGCTACGCAAGGTGGCTCAGGCCTGTAATCCCAGCACTTTGGGATGCCAAAGCAGAGTTCGAGCCCCCCAGAGTTCGAGACCAACCTGGGCATCATGGTGAAATCTTGTCTCTACAAAAAATAATAGAAAAAAAAATTAGCCAGGAGTGGTGGCGCACACCTGTAGTCCCACTTACTTAGGAGTCTGAGGTGGGAGAATCACTTGAGCCCAGGAGGCTGAAGCTGCAGTGAGCCATGATCACACCACTGCACTCTAGCCTGGGCAACAGAGTGAGACCCCTGTCTCTGAAAAAAAAAAAAATTTAAAACTAAAATGAGTTGGCCAGGCATAGTGGCTCACACCTGTAATCCCAGCACTTTGGAAGGCCGAGGTGGGTGGATCACCTAGGTCAGTAGTTCAAGACCAACCTGGCCAACATGGTAAAACCCCGTCTCTGCTAAAAATACAAAAATTAGCCAGGCGTGGTGGTGGGTGCCTGTAATCCCAGCAACTGGGGAGGCAGAGGCAGGAGAATCGCTTCAGCCTAGGAGGTAGAGGTTGCAGTGAGCCGAGACCACGCCATTGCACTCCAGCCTGGGCAACAGAGTAAGACTCCATCTCGAAATTTAAAAAAAAAAAAAAGAAAGAAAATCCATGAGTTGTAAAGTGTTTATGCAAAAAAAATCTTCAAATTATAATACTTTTATTGATACTGGAGTCTACCCCGAGTTTAATAAACATACAAATTTTGCCTTCCGTTTATTCCCAGATGGTTTTGGTCTATGGGATCTACCTTCTCCTTATTCTGCTGAGAGTTGTTCAATGTACTTTCTAGCCATTCAAACTGGTTGGCTGGGTCAGTCTTGTTCAGTGTCATTATATTTGGGCCGTAGTACAAGTTTGTGTTTAGACTGATGATCCTAAGGTTTGGATTAGTTGTAACTTTCTGTGAATAAAAACCACCTATAAAAACAATTTTAAAACACATTTAGGAAAACATACACATACACACAAACATTGTGAAAGCAAATTCCTGAGGTTTACAATCCAGTCAGGAGGTTGGTGCTTATTTCTCATTGTTTAGTTTGCACATAGATAGGCTGTCATTAGATAAGAATCAGATTTAGCAAGCATTTACTGCAAACCTGCTATGGTGCCAGGCCCCGTGCTATCGCTTCCAACATATTGAGATAACAACAGCTGTATCCAATATTCACATGAAAAGATAAATAAGTGTTTCGGCAGTAAGCAATGAGATTGAGTTTTATGAAAGAAAGATTTACACATCAACTTCTACTTTTATGATTAGGGGCTTAAGATGAGAGACATTGTGAAATATAAAATCCAAAAAATGGTAACACATATGGATCTTGCTAGAGACTACTCGGAAAAAAAGGTCAGACAAACCACAGCTGCTACAATCTCAGGGGAGAGGAGGTTTAAAGGCATCATTCCACCCACGCCTCTGAACCACTGGTGGTGGGACACCCAAGGGTCTGTTGCAATGGCACTTTCAGAGCTGGGCACTAAGATCTGGCCCAGCTTTCTTTGCCCTGAGCCTACTCACTATGCACGGCTTTCCCTAGCTTTCAATCATGATGGATCACTGCCCCTTTAATTTTCTCTATTCTTTCTTGTAGTCACAACACCTTATTATTTTTATTATGGTACTAGCAGGTCAGTTGGGTTTGAATTTGTCAGAAGTTATTTTTGAGAAGCTGCTTTCATGTCCAAGTAGTAGAAAATGACAACAGGTCTCACTAGGGCCTCTGGGATGACAAAGTTTGAGGCCCCTCATGCAAGACATCTCTGCCCCAAATCACTTTTGCCTTTAAGACTTTCTCAGGATGGCTTCTATGATTTTTAACTTAATATTATACTCCAGTGTTTAACTGGATCTTTGAGGGCTATCATTGGAATGGATATCATTATGAAACTCATATGGCTTTTTCTTAGGGCCTGCATTCCACTTCTCAGCTTTTTTCTGCCTCCCCTGCTTTATGCTGAGTCTCCTTAGAAGGCAGAGCATTTCTTTAGGGATCTTGATCATTCTTTATGGCTCTCCCTTCAACCTGCATAAGCTCTCCACGTGTCTTGTAGGATGTGAAGTGTAAGACTAGACATAGGCCGGGCACGGTGGCTCATGCCTGTAATCCCAGCACTTTGGGAGGCTGAGGCAGGTGGATCTCCTGAGGTCAGAAGCCCGAGACCAGCCTGACCAACATAGTGAAACCCTATCTCTACTAAAAATACAAAAATTAGCCAGGTGTGGTGGCAGGTGCCTGTAATCCCAGCTACTCAGGAGGCTGCAGCAGGAGAATCGCTTGAAACCAGGAGGCAGAGGTTGCTGTGAGCCAAGACCATGCCATTGCACTCCAGCCTGGGCAACAAGAGTGGAACTCCATCTTAATAAAAAAAAAAAAAAAAAAAAGACTAGATA
This sequence comes from Homo sapiens, assembly GCF_000001405.40. Lineage (NCBI taxonomy): Eukaryota > Metazoa > Chordata > Mammalia > Primates > Hominidae > Homo > Homo sapiens. The sequence continues at coordinate 122,802,186 of NC_000006.12, read as the reverse complement.
TAGTTCCCTAGATTAATCAGAACCATAGTCTAATTCTAAGCTATCATGTCTCAAATTCATATATACTATGATTTGCTGCATGCTAGCAAAAACAATAACAAAATAGTGGCAAAAGCCAAAGGGTTAACAAAAATACCGAAAGAAGTATTTTAACTGAGAGAAGTCTAGCCATTAACTTAATATTTGTCTCAACATTCTGAAAACACCAAAGTCTTAGTTTAACAGCTGCACACCTCAGTTAAGCTCACAAAATGTCAGGGATTTACATAATGATGTGTCAAGAGCCAGTGGAGCAGAGGGCCTTTAGACATGACCCAGGGAAGGCCTTACTATGCACTAATTATGCATTACTTTCCCAAGCACCTCAAAGTCCATGTTAAAAGCTTAGTTATCCTCACTTTACCAGCTCTTTGTTTTATAAAATTGTGCTGCTTGGTTAGAAGTTAGTGTCCATTCTCTCTTCTCAATCAATTTTCCAATTAGAAACATACACTTTTATTTACATTCAAATCCAAAGTTCAGCTTTTGCTCCATGGGGAACATACCTACCTAATTAAGAGTAGAAGAAGAAAAAAGAATAGAAGAAAAACAGGAAGAGCTCCCTGCAAGATAAACAGGTTCACGACCTGTGTCACAGGCAGCATTACTACTCACTGTCCTCCACAAAAACTGGGGGCTGTGCTCCAGAAGTGGCACACTCAAGCAAACATTAAAAATTTAAGTCTAAATAACATGAATAAAAATTGAGGCAAAATAGGAATAACTAAGTCTTTCACTTACCTTTCCTTAAAGTACTAATAGCTTCTTCATCTAGCCATGGTTTCCAGAGGTTTGCTACTGCATTGTACACTTTACTGGTGACTACAGGCAGTTGATCCTGGCCACAAACAATATAATCCACCATTGAAATTTAAAGATACACAGCTGAATTAATGTAAACACTACTTGAGCACTGACTACTACGTTAGGCATCTAGAGATGCAAGGATGATTATTAGATAGACTTCATCTTCAAGGAATTATAACTTAGTTGGAGACTGGGGGATAAAATGTAACCAATTAACTATAAGACAATGTGCTGGGCACTACCCAGAGGTCCGGGGAGCCTAGAAGCAAGAACAATCAAGTGTAGCCAAGGGCCAGGTGCAGTGGCTCATGCCTATAATCCCAGCACTTTGGGAGGCCAAGGCAGGCGGATCACTTGAGGTCAGAAGTTCAAGAAGTGTCTGGCCAATATGGTGAAACCCCATCTCTACTACAAACACAAAAATTACCCAGGCATGGTGGTGAGCACCCATAATCATAGCTACTTGGGAGGCTGAGGCAGGAAAATCACTGGAATCCGTGAGGCGAAGGTTGCAGTGAGCCAAGATCGCACCACTGCACTTCAGCCTGGGCAACTGAGTGAGGCTCTGGCTCAAAAAACAAAAAAACAAACAAACAAACAAACAAAAAAGGTGTAGCCCAGGGAATTAGAGAGTGAAGAGACTATTTAAGCCAGGCCTTAAATAAGGACTTTATCAACTTAACAAAAGGGCATCAAAGCAAATGCAATGGCCCAGATACAAACATAGGCATAGGCATAGGCACAGGCAAAAGCACAGAGTTCCATAGGTGTGTACCATGTACAGAGAAAAGCTCATGTTTTAGCATGGCTAGGATATGGGAAGGATGTGGGAGTGTGCTCATTAAAGAGATGCCAAAGGCAGGTTTGAGCCTGCACATGCACTGCCCGATGCAGCATGCCGAGGGAACGGGAAAACATCATGTTTTAGAATTTAACAAAGTCTTCTGAACTGTTCAAACTATTATAAGCTTCTTAACTCTTTGAATAAAGATTTACAACCACATGCTTTTGATTTGGAGAAGTCTCTTTAGGGCAGCATAAATTATATCAAAATATTTTGATTTTTTAAATAACACATTTTAAGTACAAAACATTTTTATTATCATAAAGTATCTTCAGGATGACATAAGCTCTAGTGTAGAAGTAAATGGGGAGCCTCGCCTGGAGGAAAACAAACAAACAAAACTTTAAGAAAGTTAAATACTGAAGCAGGGCATGGTGATTCATGCCTGTAATCTCAGCACTTTGAAAGGCTAAGCCAGGAGGACAGCTTGAGCCCCAGAGGGCGAGGCTGCATTTATCTATGATTGTGCCACTGCACTGCACTCCAGCCTGGGCAACAGAAAAAGACCCTGTTTCAAAAAAAAAAAAAAAAAAAAGTAAATACTGAATAAAAACCCATAAATCATTTGTGAATTGGATAATTGTTTTTAATTTTGTTTTAAAAAATTATGTTAAATGACTGAAACCCCTTCTTCACTCTCTTCATTTACTTCTGTACATTGGTAAAATAGACCTATTTCTGAGAGGAGTTTATCAAAAGTTATTTTTCAAGAAGATGCCCAAGTCCTAGTAGTTCTTGATACATGCGTCTAATACATGATGAACATATAGATACATATAGGGCAAGTAATAACCAAATGACTTGTTTTAATTGGACTAAACATGTATTTTCAGTTTGTGTCCAAGATCAGGGTCGCCTGTCTGAGAATTACACAACAGCTTAGGCCAATCTAGATTCTGATTGAAAATTGGTACGCATCGTTATCATCATATAATAAAAAGCCATAAAGTCTTGGCCATTTATTTACTTTGGGATGGATGCCAAGTATGGTGTGGTGATGGAGAAGCTTAGAATTATGTAAAAATCACTTAGACTTTCTTCTCTATTTTAAACATGAGAAACACAAGCACCAGAGAAGTTAGATGGCTTATCCAGGGATAGGTGTCAGTCTCAGGGCTGGTCTAAATCCCATGATTACTCTCACAGTCAATTGTCTATTGCACCATGTTTCCTTCCCAGTCCTTTTTGGCTGTGACATAACCACTGCTGAGAAATGAAGCCTAATGGAAAGTGACCTACCCACAAATTCGGTGGCACCAGTCTTGCCAGTGTAGGAGTAAATGGGGACCCTTCCTTGGGTGGCAACAGGAAGAATTCTCCAGGATGTCCACACTGATACCTACTTCTGATGTCATGGGTGGGGACATGCATCTGTATATGTATATTTATGTAGCTATGCTGCATGAACATAGAATTTCAGTGGAAAAATAGCACTTATGAAATTTATTTGTTTCTAACATTCTCCAGAGTTAGATCTCAGACATCAGCCTCTAAGAAATTTTGTTGTGGAGCTTTCATGTTACATTTGACATTTCCGAAACTGTGAGGTGGAAAGATGGTAGTAGAATAACAGAAAGAACATTTTTAGATATAAGATCATAAGCTAGAAAGAGAAAAAAAATTAACTGTTAAAGGTATGTAGGCTGCCCAATTTACCCTAGCTGTATATATTAATATAATAGGATATGTTATAGAAGTTAGGTAGCATTTCTGTCTTTGAATTGTAAGATCTGACTTGACAAAAAGAGGACAGAGATAAAAATAAAATCAAACAAATCCTCAAAGGAGTTACAAACATGTATCCCCTGTCACCACTTAATGTGACAATCACCACCAGCCCACTTACTGAGGGCTGATGCTGTGCCAGATAGTAAGCTATGCCTTTTTCATATCACCAATGCTCACAAAAGCTTTGCAAGGTAGGTATTTCTAGCTTCTATGTACAAATGAGTGATCTCTGCATCAGCGAGGTTAAGTGAATCACCCGAGTTGGCCAAGCTATTAAAAGCAGGGCTGGGAGGGAGGTGTGGTGGCGGAGAGGGAGGGAGTGGAAAGCAGGGCTGGTTAAAGATTTACATTCTAGTGACTATGAACACCTGTGTTTTCCAATATTCCAGTCTTCCTGCCACCTAAGGCATATAAACACAATGTGTGTGACCTTGGGCTGCTGGAGCTCATTTGTTCCCAAGCCTCTTCACTGTGTGGTCTAACATATCAACAGGAACAAATGCTCGTTGACAGGCTGACTCAAAAGGACTCACATATTACTCATCTCAAGATAGTAGGCCAGGGACAAGAAGTCACTGGAAACTTAAGCTTATTCTAGAATACAACTCATCAAAATTACTGTATTCAGGTTCGATTAACTAAAAATAATCAAAACCCCCGTTCAGCATTCATTTGACATGAGATGGAAGATATTCTAAGCAAAGAGAAAAATGTGGACACAGAGAGGCGTGAAAGTAGATATGTTTGGGAAATATTGAGTATGTTAATCAGGCAAGGCAAGGGATGTGCAAAAGGATGTTGGTTTAAGCGAACACAGATCTGAGGTAAAAAGATCTAGCGTATGGGCTCTGCTCCCAAGGGATGTGGAGCACTTGGACAAGTAATTCACATTTCTGAGCCTTCATTTTCTCACCTACAAAATGAAGGGTAGGTCTAGACCAGGGGTCAGCAAACTTTTTCTATCCATTTCAACTGCTCTATTCTGAAACATGAAACAATCAAAAGCAATGTAGAATGAATGGAAACATAGCTGTGTTCCAATAAAACTTTATTTACAAAAACAAGCAACAGGCTGAATTTGTACCACAGGAGACAATTGCCCAGCCCTGGACTTAAACAAAAATCTCTGGGTACAAATCTAAGATTTTACACTACTACAATAGGATGCTGTAAACCGGACGGCCATCTTGCTGTTATGCACAGGTTGGTTCTCAAATAAAAACCTGTTGAGCCGGGGGTATCTCAGGCATTAAATGCTCTGAACATGGTTTCTGCCTTGAATCATGTCTTAATTAGATAAACTATGACTTGAACATGGACCTCCTTCCTCTTTGCTTCTTATGGCAATTTGTAAGTTTTTGTTTTTATTTACAGTCTAGCTTACATCAGGGTATGCACATCCTTGTAGGTCTAATAAGAATTCTGGAAAAAGTAAATATTTATCAATATTAACCTTACTTGCTAACCTTGTCATGGACATGCAAATGAACCAGAACATTACTCAAAAGAAAAGAGAAATTGAAGAAGATTATGAAGGAAAACATAAATTAATCATCCACAAACTGGATAATTTTATTCTGAAAACTCACTATTGATACAACTTCTCATGAAGTATTAAAAGATTACTTTTACAGTCCCCGAAGTACTTGTCTTTGCCTTTCTTGATGGTTAGGATTAAGACCATATTCTCCCTCTATAAGACCCATTCCCATGCCCTATCACTAGCTAGTTATTGTCACAATTTTGACACTACTAATAGGAAAAATTCTTTAAGCATTTCTGAAAGTCTATCAAATTTACCTGTGGCCAATAGTCATGATTACCCAGCGCAGGGAAAACCTGGAGATTTGGAAAGAGACTCTGGATGGTGGTTGTCATATTAGTGATCACATTTATAACAGTGTCTGTTGAGAGTTCAGGTACAGGAACATGAGGTGGGCTATCCCTGAAAAAAGAGAGAGATTGTAAAGAACAAAATCAGTTTCATAAAGAGTTACTAGACTTATGCATGATGCGTTGCTATACCTATCACTGCAGACTTCCATTTTAAAACAGCAGATTACAGCTAAAGAGTTGATAGACTACTCTTCACTTACCTCTACCCTACAGATAATCCTATAAAAGAAAATTAACAAAATATAATACAAAAAATAAGCTGGAAATCCCAGCCTATTTCACTACCTGACTGAAGATTTATAAGAGGCTAAAAACTGCAATAATTAAAAGCAGATGCCAATTGAACCAGAGCCCAAATGCCTATTTCAAATCCCAGCTTTGCCAATTACTAGTTGTGTATACTCGTAAGTTACTTAGATGTTCAGTGCCTTCATTTCCTCATCTGTAAAATGGGAATAATAATATCCATTGTAAAAATTAAATAAGTTACAATGTATAAGTTAATTAAAACAGTGCCAAGCCCCAAGTAAATATTCTACAAGTATTAGCCATGGTCATTATTCCAGGTAAAGAAATATGGGCCTCTTCACCCTATAATGATGAAGGGAACCAGTTAGTTATACTGCCAGAAGATGATGCTTTACAAAATTGTCATGACAGGTAAACTTCCATTATTGCCTTTTGTCTTTGATAATTTCATGAAGACCTAATATCAACACCTCAAGATATTGATGCAAGTGTGCTGTTTATGGATTCATCTCTTAGTTAACACTGACATATTTCTGAAATCTGTATTCCAAAAAAAAACACTTCTAAAATTGTTCTTACCTCTAATAATGTTGATTAGTTTGACCTAGTGTTTTTTTAACTCAAATAACTCTTAAAATGTAACTAATCTTATTATGGAATTCAGCACTCTTATGAAGCTTAGGACACTGTAAATAAATATTGAGTAATTAATGGTACTTGTATAATCACTTACCCTGTCCATATCATGAAAGATGCTTCTTGTCCAGAATTTTTAATAAAATCAAATGCTGACAAAATAAGTTGATATGGAGAATCACACAGAACATCTCCAAAAGGGCCAGGGTTGGAGGCATTTGCACCTTTAGATGAAGCACACACTTTTGTGTGGTCATCTGTGATGTGGTAAGTAGGGTCTAAGTGTAAGTCAGTCACATGCCAAAACTGTCCTGTTGATTACACAAAAAATGCAGATAAATCTACTTGTTCTCTTTTGGAATTCTCATAAAAATATTTATATTAAGACTAGAGACGGTTGTTCCTCCCTGTGATGGAGGAAAGCCTTGGTAATTTAAATGTTCATAAGCCTCGAAGTTAAATACAGTCCTTCTCTGTGAGAAGATGAGCTTCAAGGAACTGTAGGAACAATTTACTACTTAAGTGTGTCAGAACTGATGAGCTCAGGCCGGGCGCGGTGGCTCATGCCTGTAATCTCAGCAATTTGGGAGGCTGAAGCAGGTGGATCCCTTGAGGTCAGGAGTTCGAGACCAACCTGGCCAACATGGTGAAACCCCATCTCTACCAAAAATATAAAAAATTAGCCAAGTGTGGTGGCACACGCCTGTAATCCCAGCTATTTGGGAAGCTGACGCAGGAGAATCACTTAAACCCGGGAGGTGGAGGTTGTGGTAAGCTGAGATCGTGCCACTGTACTCCAGCCTGGGCGACAGAGCAAGACTCCGTCTCAAAAAAAAAGAACCGATGAGCTCAGTATTAGTATCAGCATGATAACCTAACAAAGAATATTTAGCAAAGCTATGTTTCCATAATAAAATGTATGAAAATACCCTTCGGAGAGGCCAATGATGACATCATCTTGTGTCTTAATAGCATGTCTCCTTTAAGAGTTTAAGATTTTACAAATTATTTACATTCTTCTTGTAGAAAAATTGACGTATAAATATGATGTCGTTTGTTAGGGTTACACAGTGAGTAGGTAGACTGCAGAACCAGGAACTATATATCACTCTTACTTTCTTATAAACCTTGCCTCTCAACATTAATTCAAAGAACATAAATCTCTAATACAAGCTTTAAGCCAAAAATAGGAATTCCCAAAGCTTCTTAAAAGCTATTTAATAGAGGTACATCTTCTATCATATACTCATATAAAATGTTAATAAAATTAAGGGAAGCAGTTGTTAAAAAGGATGCTTCCATTGGGTTTTTAGGAAGCAGCCAAGCCCATTTGATAGCACCCTTACTTGGAAATCATCTTAAGAAAGTTTTTTTTTGTGTGTGTTTTTTTTGAGATGGAGTCTCACACTGTCTCCAGTGCTGGAGTGCAATGGCGTGATCTTGGCTCACTGCCACCTCCACCTCCCGGGTTCAAGCGATTCTTCTGCCTCAGCCTTCTGAGTAGCTGGGATTACAGGTGCACGCCACCACACCCAGCTAATTTTTTGTATTTTTAGTAGAGACGGGGTTTCACCATGTTAGCCAGGATGGTCTCGATTTCCTGACCTCGTGATGTGCCCGCCCCAGCCTCCTAAAGTGCTGGGATTACAGGCGTGAGCCACCACACCCGGCCAAGAAAGTTTCCTTTATTGAAGGTAATACTAGAACAAATAATCACAGTGGTATCTCTCTTTATTAAGTATTTTCTATGTGCCAGGCACTGTGATAAGCAATTTAAATATACTATGTCATTTGATTCTCAAAACTGCTCTCCGAACTGGGAATTATGGTCCTCATTTTAGAATTGAAAAACCAGTGCTGGGTCAAATAGAAAATTTGTTAAAGTATACACAGCTAATAAATCTGAACTCCCATACTGAAGGGCTTCCAAGTTTGTTTATACATCATTTATATATATATATATTCAATGATCCTTATAAACCATGTTCAAATTGTTTTAATAAAGAGATTTTTTTCCACACTTTTGGGTTTTTGAGTTTACTCTGATTATGACTAGAAACACATCAGAAGTGACAAAGTAGCATGTACTACACCAGAAGCACAGAGTAAACAGGTAGGATGCAAACTTTAAACTCTACCAATATGTTACAACTGAATAAAACCCAAAGCTGGGATAATAAGGTGAAACAGTTGATACGTTAAGGTGAAAGGGGTGAGTTATCTTTTGGTGGTTGTTTCTTCCCAACATAGTTGTCATTATAATTCCATGACATATTTATGTTCACAACTAAGAAATGGTAGACAAAAGATCCAGAAGAAAGTAGTAGTATGGTCAATTACTTGGCACTTAGTCACTATTTGAAAACATCTGACAAAAGCAATTTTATTTTATTCCATAATGCAGAAAATACCCCAATCTTTATTTCCATCTTAGATATACTTTACCCAGCACAAAAAGTAAAGATGGCAAATAGCTCAGAGTCATCCCAGAGAATCATTTTAACGTGAACATGTATTTGTATTATTTCGAGAATGTAAGGGTATAGTAAATGAACATGAAACAATACAGTGTCGTGGTTAAGAGTGGAGGCCAGAGTCAGACTGTTTGACTTCCAACCCAAGCTCCACCACCCACTAATCTTGCTATGTGATCTTGGCCTATTTCATTGATGAAATGGGAATAATAATAGTGCCTACTGTGAGAGTTAAGTGACTTAGTAGAAGTAAAGCCCTTAGAAGGTGTATGGAACCAAGTAAGCTCAATGTTAGTTTTACTGTTATTTTTTTAACTTCAAACCCCATTTCCAAGTAATACTTAAAATTCAAGTACTTATTACATGTTTAGTACTATTTTTTATGCTTCACATGTATGAGCTCATTATTATGTATACTCCATTTTACAGATAAGAAACTGAAGCACACAGAGATTAAATTCAAGTTACATGCATCATCTGCAACAGATCTAAACTATCATCTGCAACAGGGCTAAACTATGAATTCAGGAAATCTGACTCCAGAGTCCACATTGCCCTTATCCACATACAATTCCTCTCTGTGTTTTCACATTCAAATATCTCCAATCTCACTTGCCTCACATGAAAACAGATAATGAAAACGGGTACTCATGCCTGTAATCTCAGCACTTTGGGAGGCTGAGGCAGGAAGATCGCTTGAGCTCAGGATTTTGAGACCAGCCTGGGCAACATGGTGAAACCCCATGCCTACAAAAAATACAAAACTTAGGAAGGATCTCTTGAGCCAGGGAGCTTGAGGCTGCAGTGAGCCAAGATTGGGCCAAGGCACTCCACCCTGGGTGACAGAGACCCTGTCTCTAAAAAAAAAAAAAAAAGGGGAAGAAGAAGAAAGAAAACAGATAACGACAATATCTACACTCGAGATACTGTGAAGATTAGGGGAAAAGAGACTATAAACATATTCAGCATCTGTTTCAGTAAACCCAAACCTGAAATGCATTAAGAGTACACCCCTCTGATATAATTTAGTACCTAGATTTATATCGCCAGCATCTAGAATATGCATGACTTATAGTAGCCCTTCAACAAACATTCTTTAATTTATATATGATGACATTTAGGCAAAGGCAAATTTCATGATATCCTCAAGATCACAGATGACTCAGTAATGAAAGCTTAACTGGAACCAGTCTCTCCAGACTTCTAGTCTAGTGATCTTTCTACTGCATGGCATTCCAGACAGATAAATTAGGGGATAATCATTTAAATTCACTGAAAGATGTCTTTAAACAGAAGCCAAGAACAGAGCTCTGACAGGTTCTTAACCTGGGACTCATGAATAATGAACATCTGGAAGCCTCATGTCCCTCTCCTAACGAAACTGTGTGCCTATGTGTGTTTCCAAGGCCTGGCCTGTGGCAGAGCCCACACTCCAATCCATGTTTCCTAGTTCAAAGTCCAAAGTTCTGTTTACTACAGCACGTTTTCCTGTTCTGCAGACTATCTTTAAAAAGATTTCCAAGTCGGGCGCGGTGGCTCATGCCTGTAATCCCAGCACTTTGGGAGGCTGAGATGGGCAGATCACGAGGTCAGGAAATTGAGACCATCCTGGCTAACACGGTGAAACCCCGTCTCTACTAAAAGTACAAAAAATTAGCCAGGCATGGTGGCGGGCGCCTGTAGTCCCAGCTACTCGGGAGGCTGAGGCAGGAGAATGGCGTGAACCCGGGAGGCGGAGTTTGCAGTGAGCCGAGATTGCGCCACTGCAGTCCAGCCTGGGTGACAGGGCGAGACTGTCTCAAAATAAAAAATAAAATAAAATAATAAAATAAATTTTTAAAAAGACTTCCAAAAATATGTGTGTGTGTTCAGCAAATCTAGAAAAACTCTCAAAATTATACCAGAAAATCTTTTAATCCAAAATATTTTATAACTTCTCAAGAATCCAATGAACCATAGTTCAGACATAATTCAGCTCGCCTTATGCCTTATTTGAACATAGTTTGAACACTCAGCAGTATATGAATGGTTGAAGTATGGCTGCTGGGATTGGCCAAACTTAGCTATTGTTACCAGTGCATACTCTTAAGTTAGGTTTTCAGTCTCATCTGACTATTAAGCTAGGTTACAGTTCATTCACAAGGATTCAAATATAGAAGTAAGGAGTCCTTCTCAGGCCGTATTTAGTTTGCTTTAACAGTACCAATACACAAGCCAGTCCCAGCCTACTCAATCTAAAGAACTGTAGCCAAAAACACACAGGTGAAGCTTCCTAGAACTTCTGTCGTCCGACCACCAGGACTTGACAGGGCAGAAAACTAAGACTGGGAATTTAAACGCAAAAACACAAAACAAGAAAGCAGTAGCCAGGCAGGGTGGATGCTGAAAGGAAGTCCAAGCATGTGGGGCTGAGAGGAGGCAGGAGAGTTGTCACATCAAGTGGAAAATACGCAAAATATTACAAACAAGGAGAATTGTGAAACTGCTGAGTGAACACTTCAGACCTTTGAACTCCAGTAACACTTCAGACTTTCGAACTCCAGTGACTCCAGTAACACTTCAGACCACTGAACTCCAGTAACCCCTCTTCCTTCCCCTTTAGTAGGAGGGGATTCAACCTTGCAGTTTCCCAAACAGGAGGTGTGAAGACTCACAGAGTCCCCAGAAAGCGCTCATTCAGGCCTCTTTAAAACACAGGTGAATTTGCCATTGTGTGGCCTCAAGCAACGTGAGACATTTTATTTCAAAACCCTAACCGGTCACATAATTAAAGGAACACAAGCTAAGCCGTAATAAAAGCAGAAACCAGTATACATAAACATTTTGGGGAAATTTCTTGTAATGACTGACATTTGCCACAGTTCGGAAACCAGATTTACAGTTTTTGCTTCAGACCTGACAGCTGAGTCGTGAGGACTTGGCCTTCAAAGAGAAGATATTTGCCCTAGAGCGCTCCCAAGTCCTGAGAAAGCACAGAGGGAGCGAAAGAGGTTTCAGCACTAGGTGCTGCTACCGAGTCTCAGGGACAACTCTCCCCTAAAAGAAAACAGAACCCCACTTCTCTAATTTTGTTTTTCCTCTTAACAGTGCAATTATTTTTAAAGGGAGTTGAGGAGGTGAGGGCACCTTGATTTTTGGAACTGGAGGCTCGGATGGCATTGTACAATCTCCCACCAAAATGTATCTATTCTGGACCAGTGAGTCTCAAACTTAGCCGAAAGGAATCATGCGGAGGGTGGGTTAAACAGCATACTGTGGAAGCCCAACGCCGGCGTTTCAGATTCAGTAGGTCTGGGATGGGCTGGAAATTTGCAATGCTAACAATTTTAAGTGCGGCGGCTGCTGCCACCGGTCCAGGGCACACTTAAGAGAATCACTACTGTAACGGGCACTGTGTTAAGTGCTGGGAGTGAATAAAATGGGTCCCGCCCGCAGGAAACCTAGTGGACATCCAGGTGAAATGAAGTCCCCGTGAGTTCCACGGTAGACTAAGGGGTGAGTCTACCCGAGGGTGCTTTCGCGCTCTGGCTGGGTGAGTGGCAGAAAAAGCCACTGATCTCGGTCGAGCAAGACAGAAGATAGTGTGAGTCACGCTGAAATTTACTTCCCTGAGCTGGTGGGGAAACTGCAGTCCCCCTCCATTCAGGACCGATTAGGGGCCTCTTGCTGTGCTGGACATCGGACTCCCAGCTTCCTCTTCCCTTGAGTCCCGCAGCTTTTCCTTCCTTCCCCAAGGAACAAAACAACTGAGATGCAGGATGTAAACAAAAGCCAGGCTGGCGAAATCCGGCCGACGCGCCCTTGGAGCGCCCCCACCGGCGAGGGCATTTCCCCCGCCCAGCCCCGGCCTCCCGGCTGGACGCCCTAACGCTGTAGTCCCTTGGTCGCCCTCCCCGCGCCCACCAGCCGTGGTCAACGCCGGACGCGTCAGGGGCCCCGCTAGCCCGAGCCTCTGCCGGGGGCAGCTGCCCCCACGCACTTTCTCCTGCTGTGCGCAGGCGCCGCCGCTCCGCGCTCTTTGCCGGCTGGGAAGAGAAGGGTCGCGGACAACTCACCTATCGCCGGAGGAGGATTCCTGCCGCCTGCGGGCGCCACGGGCAGCCCGAGGCCGGAGCGGCAGTGCCAGGCAGTCAGCAGGCAGCAGACGAGTGCGCGCACCAGCGCCATGGAGGGCCGCGGGGCTGACCTGGAGGTTCGGGCTGTCCCGCAGCTCCACTCGGACCGTCAGGCCTGAGGGTGAGGCGGAGACAGAAGACGGCTGCGGGTGTAGACGTCCGACTGATCACGTGCAAAGGCAGATTCCGCAGCGAGTCAGTTCGCCTGACCTTCAGCTGCTGTTTAGCGATGATCTGTTCTCGTATTTCTTAGCGTCAGTGTTTGGCCTAGGAAGGAATGTACTTGTAGAAGCTCAAATTCCGACTCGTGTATCAGTGGTGCAGTTGATGTCAAACACTGACATACTGGTGCTTGGGGATAGAGAAAGACATTCAATTTAGTAAAAGCCAGAAGGAGGGAGAACAAGATCTCTCAAATCCGTGTGTAAAAAGGAAAAAGCAGGGAGTTTTTATTCTGCTAGAGAATAAGAGAGGGGGATTTTCAAAGAATCCAGGGGAAAAGTCTGTTTCTTCAGTCTCAGATAACACCTTTGAGCAATTAGACGTCCAGGCATCCGCAGCTGGTTGCAAAGCCCTTGGAGGTATTCATCCCTTCTGCAAACATTTTTGTGACCCTGAAGTTAACCTCTTTGTTCTTGACGAGGAAGCAGTACCTCAGCAGTTTATAATTATATTGTGGAAACAAGGAGAATATTGGGCAAAAAGCGAGTGGTTAAAATGTGCAAGCAAGCAGGAGCCTGATCAGAATTTTCATTATTTCAGTCACTAAAAAATGCTGGGGTGCTGAAATCTCAACGATCCCGGTTCCATTCTTGGGCCAACCTACCCCAGCTTTAATGGGTAGGGCTCCTCAGTAGAGGTGATGCAGAGAGCCCTGAAGTATCATGATTTGAAGGAAATCAGCAAAAGTTATGGATACTGCAGTGGATCTCGAATTGAAGTCTCTGAACTGGGAACATTAGCACCACCTGGGAACTCTAGTTAGAAATGCAAATTCCCAGGCACCACCCTAGACCTGTTGAGTCAGAAACCTGCTGGAGCCCAGCAGTTTGTGTTTTCACAAGCATTTCAGGTCATGTTAAAGTGATTGTGATGTTTGAAAACCAATGCTCAAAGATACGACGTTTTGTTTTTTGTTTTTTTTAAACTGCCGGGAAGAGAAGGGTCTTAGAATTAGAACATGTTCTGAAATCATGCTTTATGCATTCCAGAGATGCATGGAAATCATAAGTAGAGGTGGTTGATTTGATGCTTCCACGGAACTTTTTTGAATATACTTCTGGCAAAGAAGTAAGTCTATACAAAGAAGTAAGCAAAGATAAGTCTGGCAAAGAAGTAAGTCTATACAAAGAAGTAAGCAAAGATAAGTCTGGCAAAGAAGCCAGAATCCCGAAACTGTGCTGGATCCTGTATTCTGTGTTCCTTCTCTCACCGTTTATGAGGATGCTGATCTCTTGGAGATGACAAGCTAATAATTTAAATTTATAGGGCGTGGAATTCCTTTGCAGAAGAAAATGCTTTCCATAATTACTAACCTCAAAAAAGATGTTGTAGAGTGTATTTCTTTCCCAGCATAGAAAGCTTTGTTTTGTATCCCATGTAATTTAATGGGAGTGTGTGTCATGAAACGGGCTTTGAAGTGGGAAGCAAGGTGCTTCCATTTTCTGTTTTGTAAACCAAAAATAAAATTTGAAGGCCCCCCACAACCATCTGAATGGACGACCATCTGTATGGACTCTTTCCCCAGTCAGGGCACTCTAAAATTTAACCTGAAAGACTGGTTCAGGCCATGAAAAAGGGGATGGGGGGGTTGGACATGCGTAATTAACATCAACATAGACCATAAGTCTGATAAGAAACATTTAAGATCTGTTTTCTCTAAAGCCTGCTACGTGGAGGCTTCGTCTGTGTGACAAAATCTGGGTCTAACAACCCCTTATCATAACCCAGACATCCTTTCTATTGATAATAACTTTTTCAATCAACCAATTGCCAATCAGGACATGTTTAAATCTTCCTGTGATCTGGAAACACCCACCCCCCGCCCAGCTTCAAGTTGTCCTGCCCGTCTAGATCGAACCAATGTAAAAATCTTACATGTATTGATTGCTGTATCATGTCTCCCTAAAATGTATAAAAGCAAGCTGTATCCTGACCACCTTGGGCACATGTCAAGACCTCCTGAGGCTGTGTCACTGGCCCATCCTTAACCTTGGCAAAATAAACTTCCTAAATTGATTGAGACCTGTCTCAGGTACTTTTGTGTTACAGTTTCAAGTCCTGCCAGGGCAGCCGAAGTCCTGCTTCAGCTTTTGGATGATTCAAAAGCTTGCAAGAACCAAAGTGCATTCCAGTGGAGGACAAGATGGTCCCTGGAGTTTCTCAGTTCACAACCTCTAGAATATGGGAGAAAATGGAGCCAGAAAAAACTGGTGAGCTGGTGAGAGAAAACGACTGTAAGGATTAACAAAACAACTTAGGAGTTTTTAGTCCAAACATTTAAAGCTAGGAAAAGGATAAATTATAAAAATAGCTCTTTTCACTCCTTTTTTTTTTTTTTCCAATTTCAATATACTTTACTGGAAGTAACTGGTTGCAAAATAGTTTTTCAGTAAGCATAAAACAAGGCATACACATTTTGAAACTTAAGAAATGTTTGAAATCCTAAAAAGTACAGTATATTAAAATTAGTGGGTAGAAACACCATCCTTCTTTCTACTCACTCCACTTTCTTTTTTTTTTTCTTAATACTCACTAAGAAGCAAAAAACTACAGTGCCCCAACATCTCTACAGGCATATCTCAACCATGGGCATATATTTGTAGGTCTCCATGTGCCAGGTGTACAAATATGTCATCGTGAGTGTGTATATCTGGGTGAGGGAAATCACATGAAAGAAGAGCAGAAGCTTCACAAAACAGCCTTAGCTTAGTTTGTATCATTGAGACCTTCGTATCATTTCAGAAATGTTCTTCCAGGGCCTGTTGGTCAAATTGCCTTTGGTCTTGGTCATTTTTCCTTTCCTTTAATTATGTTTCTTAACTATGTTAAGAAACAAAACAAAGACGGCAAACCAGAAAAGTTAGTGCATTGACAGATTGACAGTGTGAAATAGAATTTGGTTTGAAGAAAAATGATTTGCGACTACCCAGAAAAACTTAGGAAGCAAACATGTTAATTATCTTCCCTCTTAAAATCATTTGTTCTACCACTGCAACCCTTGATCTTTCAGACCATTGCATCTTTGTTTCCCATTTAGGCCACCCAAAAACCTTTTCATTCTTCACTCTGGGAGACAGTTGTTATGGAAACTGGTGCCAGTGTTATTTGGCTTCATTTTAATGAGCTAAAGATAAATCTCTATCTTTGGCTTTGTATCTTTAATAAGAGAGAGGCCAGAATCTGGGCTTCTGGTAGAGTGTAGGCTGAAATCCAGTTGTTAAACAGCCCTCCACCAGAAGCAGAGATGGTGGCTGTCAGAACAGTTGGAGCCAACAACCTGTTCATGTTGTGTTTCATGCTTTTAAAGACGGGTAAACTGAGTGCAGTGGTATGTGCCAGTAGTCCCAGCTATTCAGGAGGCTGAAGTAGGAGGATTGCTTGAGCACAGGAGTTTGAGACTAGATTGGGCAGCTAAGCAAGACCCCATCTCTTAGGAAAAAAAAAAAAAAGAAAATTTTCTCATACTTATAGCTGTAAGTTAATTGAACATTTTTTTTTCTTTTGAGACAGAGTCTCTCTCTGTCACCCAGGCTGTAGTGCAATGACACAGTCTTGCCTCACTTTAACCTCCACCTCCCGGCTCAAGCAATTCTTCTAACTCAGCCTCCTGAGTAGCCGGGATTACAGAAATGCACCATCACACCTGGCTAATTTTTGTATTTTTAGTAGAGACAGGGTTTTGCCATGTTGGTCAGGCTGGTCTTGAACTCTTGGCCTCACGTGATCCACCTGCCTCAGCTTCCCAAAGTGCTGGTGCTGGGATTACAGGTGTGAGCTGCTGTGCCTGGCCAGTTAATTGAACTTTGAATTAATTTATAAAAACTTACTAAAACACAGGGCTGATTAAAAATGAATACAGTATTACATATAAGTGCTGAAATATATTTACCTCCCTAGCCTCCCAAGAGGCTAACAAAGAAAAGGAATGATCGGGGAGAATAAAATCTTGTGTTTTTGTTTCAGAAGAAAAGTTAGCTGAAATATTAATTTTGGAGAGGAAATAAAGAGAAATATTGCAAGATTTCCAGCTCTCAATATTATTTACTACACATGAGAACTTGGACATGCAAATCTAACCTTCAATTTCCTTATTGGTAAAGTAAAAATAAATAATACCTGCCTTCTTGCTAAACATTGTATGGTTGAGAAAATGTATAAAAAGCATTTTGTAAATGATGAAATATGTAAAATATTTGTTTGTTTGTATTTCACAAATTCAGACCCCAGCCAGATACAAACAAGTATTTAATTTGGTTTGGTCAACTCAATCACCTTCCCTTTCTTCTCCCCGCCCCGCTCCACCACCCCGAAATTTTGAGTGTCTTTATGCACAGCACTCCATTTGCACTCTCATTGACTTTATCCAACTCAGTTTAGTTGTCTGGAGAAACATTTTTTATAATCCAGGATAAAATTCACTCCCTTTCTCTATTGCCTTTCAATAAGAAATTTTGATTACATGATATTTTGATTATATTTACCTTTTAATAAGACATTTTGATATACATCATTTTGTTTCTTCAAACCGTTTCTTCTAAAGACACTACTTCCACCGGGCGCAGTGGCTCATGCCTGTAATCCCAGCACTTTGGGAGGCCGAGGCGGGTGGATCACCTGAAGTCAGAAGTTCAAGACCAGCCTGGTCAACACGGTGAAACCCCATCTCTAAAAAATACAAAAATTAGCCAGGCATGGTGGTGGGCACCTGTAATCCCAGCTACTCAGGAGGCTGAGGCAGGAGAATTGCTTGAACCCGGGAGACAGAGTTCGCATGACTGCACTCCAGCCTGGGCAACAAGACTGAAACTTTGTCTCAAAAAAAGGAAAAAACGACACCACTTCCGTAGCCCAACCCACTATACAAGGCTTCTCTGGGTCCTGGCCAAATGAATTTTACCATCACAGATTCTTCATGGAAGGCTCAACCAAAACTGTGGCATTTCTGTATTTTCTAAGGCTTTTGCTTATTTTTTAAATTAGTATTTTAAACAAAGTGCTAATTTTTTCAGCCTTACTTTATGCTATAAGAGTGACTATTTTACTTAAAATTGTCTAATATAGAATTCTTAGCCAGATTAATGATATTAGAAACAACAACAAAATTTCACGTGTAAGATTTTTATTCAAATTTGATTTACATTCCAAAAGAAATTATAAAATGTATTCACTTGTTTATAAAAAAAAGGGGGGGGGGGACAAAACTTTAATTCAAATTATAAAACATGATAAATTTTCAGATTAAAATTGGGCAAGTTGCTTGGAGTAACAAGTTTTTAAATCACCATTTTCCACCTCCACACCAAGGATAACCTTCTAATTAATGATCAGCCATGTTGTAATAGGATAGCACTGAGACTTGAGGAAACAGAAAAACTGAAGAGCTCTTCCAAGCCCCGACCAGGAACATTTTTATGCCTTCTCATAGTGGCGAACAGCAACCACATCACCAAAAGTAAGGGTCTGCAAGGTTCAAAAGATAATCAAATCTTTTTATACAGGAACTTCAGTCACCGAATTTTAAAGATCATCATATATGTGATCTAAGTATTATGCAAAAGAATGACATTTACAAACATTAAATGCTGCATAAGCATTTCACATCTTGAAAAGAGACCCTATATTGATATACAGTTTATGTCTCTGAAATGAGAATGAAGCAAACACTGGGATTAGCACTTTAGATTCAAGTCAAAAGAATTTCTTTAGCCTTAAATTATCAGGGTAATTGAGCAGATCAGGTGTGAGAAATGGAGTGTCTACGTTGTTTTCTCAACTATCTGCTTTAAAAGTGAATGAGTTTTATAATAGGTTTACATAACAGTTTTCAATTCTTAACCTAGATAAATTTTGAATAGCCATTAGAAAATCCAGTCATTTGAGCTGATGGTATTTGGAATGACTTGTTCCAAAATCAAGAGGAACATGTAAAGGTACAAATATTCTCCTTGTTTTGGTTGTCATGGTTTAGCCTATGTGAACGCAGGTAGGTAGGTGGATAGGATGCGGAACATCAGCTCTATTACTCTAATGTCAAATCTAACTTGAAGAGTTATTATAAAACCACTTTACAGAACTTAGGGGGTTTTGGTGCTCATGGTTTTCATGTATTGATGTGATGTTCAGGAGTATAGTATATCCTTGTAGTCTATTGCTTTAGTCTTCCTTTTTGAACTCAATCTTGCCTGATCATAGTCATGCATGCCACGGTTGAGCTATCTACTTTTCTGTGTTCTGGGAAAAAATGGAGGTAAAAGCATAAAGGAGAACTTCAGAGCGAATCTTTTAGAAATGAGTCCTTTCTTTTATTGATTGTTGCCAAAAAAATGTGAGCAAATATCCTTTAACATGAAAGGAAAACTGTCCCTCTGCTCCCCACCTCCATCTCCACAGAAACATGAATATCTCAATGCAGAACAGTGCTGATTGCAGTAGTCAAGGGGAGAAGGAAACATGAGTCCCCATTCTTAAACAACAAAACTTTCTCTGCTGTCATCGTACAAGGACTATGTAAAGCATTCTCACACCCTCCTCCAAAATTGAATGAGCCTACCCACCTATGTCAGTATCATCAATATACCATTGCAGGTCACACAAAAAGTGTCTGAGGAAGGCTTGGTGAAGGCATAATATTTCTCCTAGTTTGTGATACTACTCCATCATTAGATAAATTATTTGTTAATTATTTTATATTTGATCAATTTAGGACAAAAACAGAGGAAAAAGTCTTGTAAAGATGGAGTCAGAAATGGATCAGAGTAATAACAACTGTAAGCCCAACAACCTCAATGATTGCCAGGAGCCATCCGGGAAGTAGGAAGAAGCAAGGGAGGGGGCCCGCAGAAGGATGGCAACACTAGGGTCGCCTTGATCTCAGGCGTCCAGCTTTCAGAACTGAGAAAATTCATTTCTGTTGTTTTAAGCCACCAAGTTTGTGGTACTTTGTTGTGGCAGCCTTAGGACACTAATAAATCCTCTTTTACAGATAATTCCTAGTAAGTAAGAAGAGGCTGATTGAAAAAAATATTTTTCATGTCTACCTAGTATTGAATATATATGTTTAAAAGGCATATTATGCATTCGAGAAAAAAACTGGAAAGAAGTAACATCAAAATGGTTCTCTTTGGGGGCTGGGAGCCTTGGCTCAGGCCTGTAATCCCAGCACTCTGGGAGGCCGAGGCAGCAGGCGGGAGCATCACTTTGAGCTCAAGAGCTGTAGGCCAGCCTGGGCAACATGGCGAAATCCCATCTCTACAAAAATACAAAAAAATTAGCCCGGCGTTGGTGGCTTGCACCTGTGGTCCCAGCTACTTAGGAGGCTGAGGTTGTAGAATCGCTTGAGCCCATGAAGCAGAGGTTGCAGTGAGCCAAGAATGCACCCCCTGCACTCCAGTCTGGGTGACACAGCAAGACTTTATCTCAAAAAAAAAAAAAAAAAAGGGTTATCACTGATGAGAAATCAGAGGGGATTTTAATTTTTTTGTTATACTTTTCTGTTATATTCTAAATTATCTGCCCAGAACTTGTGTAACTTTATAAATTAAAATATAAACTGTTTAAAGATCTCTTATTACAGGAGCTATAAAGTCATCTGTCTGAGATTCTCTTATAATAGCAATTATCTTTATATATTTCAGTGATTATGGGCTTTATATTAAATTTTATTTGAGAGACATCCATAGTTATCCTACAAAAAATCTTTTGACACAGTTTTAGGCAAATCAATGGCAACTTTTATTTTTTTAACTACACATGAATTTTTCTCTTTTTCTACAATCAAAGAAGTTGAGCTGAAGAAGAAAATTAACTGGGATCTTTTTGTTTCCCCTGTTTTACATATAGTTAAAGAACCTTGCCAGTGATGTATTATTAAAGAAGGAAGGAAGGAGGAAGAATGGAAGGAGGAGGGAAGAAGAAGGAAGGAGGTGAGAGGTGTGCGGAGAGGAGAAAAAAACAAGGAAGAATGGAGAATTGTCATTACTTACCATAACCATTTTGCCATCCTTAATTTCTCTTACAAAATTTGTTTCTTTGCCATCCCATTTCTGTATGTGAACAAGTTTGTCTCCATCCAGGCTAACAACAGACTGAGACCAACAACAAAATGCAGAACATAGCAATAAATACAATTCAGATTTCTGATACGGAAGACGATGTGATTTTTGAAAGAGTTGTATAATTGAATAAATCATGATCAGTTAATTATCCTATTGTTATTTCTATTACTTCTAGATTTTCTATTATGTAAATTTGAATTCATAATTTGATTAAAAAGTATACATCTAAATACAAAAATTTAATATATTAAAAACAAAAATCCTAAACCAGTGCTTTGCAGCTAGTCGTCCCTCTAAAGAAAGCCTTAGAATGAGGCAAACTGTCTATTTAGTCAATCTGAGGCAACCTGGGGAATTAAACAAAATGCAATCTCTCTTTCAAACAAACCTTATTAAATATTTTCTGAAATACAAGTTTGATATAAAATGTGAACAGTATATGGTAAGAGACAAATACAACTGAGATTTATGCTATAGCAAGTACCCATTGTTCAAAATATAACATATGCACATTAAACTAACTTTGGTGTATTTCTCCTTGGATTGAAATACTGAAAATATTCTACACTTTCCAACATCTTAAAAAAAACATGCATTGGAAATCTTTATCTTTATTCCCCTCTCCCCATCCCCACTCTGAAGAAGAAGCAGTTTCTCACCTTACAGTTTCTATCATCTGCAGTGGTTTCATCAAACTCTTCTCCCAGCTGGAAACTAATCTCCGTGTTCTTGAATGTGCTGAGAGTCCTGATGACCACTTTGTCTCCTTCTTGACTGATAATTACCGTTGGTTTGGTCACATTTCCCACCTGCCTAGTGGCAAAGCCCACGCCTAAAATAGCAAAGGGAACAGTACAGTCTGCAGCGACTTCCAAAATAACTCACAAAGCAAGAATCTGCTTTCTGATTCTGGAATCCACGTTCTAAAGTGTAAGTTTCATTAGAACATGATTAGCCCATTAATCATGTAAAACACTACTGTGATAATAAGTGGATGCAGAAGAAAACCAAAAAAGTCAGAGAAGCTTCATATTCTCCACGGAATAGCAAATGTTCTGTTTTTATTGGCCCTGGGTAAGAAGGCAAGCAAGTGCCACATTAAAAATCCATTCAGTGGAAAATGCATAGCCTAGCATCTGATCAGGGCAATGTGATCTGTCTTTGCCTCTTGCTGACCTGATGAGTGAAAAATGGAATCTGCAAATATCTAAAGCTGCACGTTGAGAAGAGAACAGCCGGTCTTATTGTTACCTACCTAGAGCCTTCATGTACTCATCAAAGTTCTGACTGTTGGTCAGCTTCCAGGTAGCACAGAAAGCCTCCACCATCCTTGCCCTTTCCCCTCTTTAGAGACAGGAGCGGGGATCTTCTGGTCTAATTGCCACTGCAGCTCAGAAGACCCTTTACACCTCAGCAAGCAGCTCCTGCCTTCTTATTTGGAAAGAGGGTGGGCAAAAATCCAGTGATTTAAATTGCAAACACACCCCTCCAGTGTCCCTCTTTCCAAGAGGCTGTCACAGAGAGAGGAGAAGGGAAGGAGCGCTCGAGTGAGGCTCCAATCCTCTTTGTGATTGGCTCAGGCCACTGGGTTAGCGGAGTAGGTCGAGTTCCTCCCAATCCTCACACTACAGCCCTTATGCCTGAGAAAGCTCGGCAGGGATTCAATGGGGCTGGAGGCAGGGAACGGGAAAATGAGAGAAGGGCTTTCAGGTTCGGTGAGAAAAAACTTGGCAAAGGCAATCTCAGACTGCAAGGAAAGAAAAAAGATGCACAATGGGGCATTCAGATTGATTTCCGTTAATGACAAAGCTGGTCACAAATGAGGACCCCCCTTAAAGAAAACCACTGAAATGCCAGACTTTGCAGACAAAGGAGAGTGAATAGTGTGTGTTATTTTCTCTCATAGTTACAGGGAGAGCGAAATGCAGGCTAGAGTAGGCCAAACTGAAAAAGAGGGCGGGGAGGAGGTGTAAATGCCTTCCCTGGATATACTGCTTGAAGGCTACTCTGACTGTCAATGAGGAAGCACACTAATTTGGGTCCTTTCCCAACACAAACCGAGAGAATTTAAAGATCCCGTTGTCCTTTCTAAAAATGTGAGAACGAGACTGAGTTGGAAAAGGGACCTAAGGAAGAGTATGGTTAGGACTTACTAATGAGGTACAAAAATAAATAAAAGAATGCTTTTCCCCCCGATCTCCTTGAATAGATTATAGAACCCATGTGGAAAAACTGGACAGAAGATTATTTAGTAAGACTTTAAATTACCTGCATTCTAGGACCTTTTGATTTCCTGAGGCCACATCTACACAAATACAATCTGTGTACATTTGTTGGGAGTTAGTGATGGGGAAGGGCAGGAACTGGAGGAGCGGTAGGAATCAGAAGGGCTTTGGTTTCAGTTTGCCCTGGCTCAGGGTTCCCCAAGAATGGCAAATACCTTGAGGGTTCTAAGTAGAGTATTTAAAGGAAGTCTCTGAAATTCCCCTTCACCCAAAGAGATTCCTTCCTGACTTACTAGTGCTGACCAGCAATGAAAGCAGCTTACCTGCCTCTCCTGGGGACAGAGCAGGAGAATCCGACTTGATATTCCCTGCCCTTCTCTCTCCCCTCCCAATTAAACTGCAGCCCAGCACATTTCTACCCAATCCACACCAGATCCAACAGAGAAGGCTCAGAAGGCCTCCTACGCTAGGTGGCGGCTACATGATTCTTCTTCGGTGTCTCAAGTGCGCTTGTTTAACAAAAACTGTAGTCTTCCTTCACAACTGCTTTTCTTCCAATTTTCACTTTATTTGTGACTGATACCACCATGCACCCAACTGTACAAGCCAGAAACCTCTGAATCATTTCTAATACTTTACCACTAAAATCAAACTTAATGTCAAGGCCTATCTCTTTTGCTTTGCTAACAGAAAAACCAAACTCTGTAAAATGTTTTACAGAAGTTTACTCTGAACCAATATGAGCAACTGAGGCCCAGGGAAAACACAAACCCAAGAAGCCTTGGGAAAGTGGTCCCAAGGTGGTCAGATTACAGTTTGGTTTTATACATTTTAGGGAGCCAAGAAGTACAGTCAAAAACGTAAATCAATACATGGAAGGCATACATTGGTTCAGCTCAAAAAGCTGGGATATCTTGAAGCTGAGGGCTTACAGCTTATAGATGAATTCAGAGATTCTTTAATTTGCACTTGGTTAAAGGAATAAGGCTCTGTCTAAAACTTGGAGTGCACATAAAAAAATTATATTTATTTATTTATTTATTTATTTATTTTTGGAGAAAGGGTCTTGCTCTCTCACCCAGGCTGGAGTGCAGTGGCGCGATCTCAGCCCACTGCAACCTCCACGACTCAAGTGATCCTCCCACATCAGCCCTCTGAGTAGTTGGGACAACAGACATGTACCATTATGCCTGGCTATTTTTTTGTACTTTTAGTAGAGTCAAGGTCTTGCCATGTTGCCCAGGCTGGACATAAATGTTTTATATTAACAAAAGGATGCTCTGTGGCAAGATGAATGGCCTAATTCTTGCCTTGCATTACCTTAGATCTTGTTTATAGTTTGGTGTCTTATTGACACAAAGAGTCTGTTTTGTCAGTTTTATAATCTCTATTTTAACATGAATGCCTGTCAGTTGTGTCTAAACTCCAAAAAGTCAGAAGTATGTCCGACTTCCCTTCCTTTTATGGCCAGGAATTCAGGTTTTAAGGGTTTTTTTGAGGCGGGCATCCCTTGGCCAAAAGGGGGTCTGCTCAGTATGTGGGGGTGCTTAGGATTTTATTTCCAGTTTACAGCTAAAATTCCGATGACTGTTTCATCTAGGCAAACTATTTCTCTAGTAAATGTTCTCAAACAGTTGTTTTGTTACAAATTATTGCTATATGTTTCATCTAATAAAACACGTTTAAAGTGGTAGGATGTGTAAGTATTTTTCTAAAATATAATAAATCATTTTCCTTTTGTATTCTAAGAACATAAAATTGTTGAGAGCAGGAACCATGTATTAGATATCTTCATCTTAGCCCTTTATAGATCACAAGTGCTGAAATATTTGTGCATACCCATTTATTTCTTCCACTCTCTAGATAAAGAATATGAGATGGTGACATATTTATTCGTAGAGCATATATTCCATTAATTCTGATTCCTTTAAACCTTATCAAAAACATGAAAGCCCCACAATTTAGAGGCAGGTTTTTTTGGTTGCATATTAATCTTGTAATAGGCAGAAAAGAATACATGTTGCCATACAGATATCTGTACCAGAAATTTTAGAAAAAGTCAAGTGACTATTTTTTAATTAATCATGTATGGATACATAATAGTTGTGCATATTTATCAGGTACATACGATATTTGGATGCAAACATTACATGAGTAATGATTGAATCTGGGTAATTATGATATTTATCACCTCATTGGTCATTTCTTTTTGTTGGGAACATTCTAAATATTCTTTTCTAGCTATTTTGAAAAATGCTATGAATTATTGTTAACTATAGTAAACCTGTTGTGGTATCAAAGGCTAGAATTTATTCATTCCACCTAACTGTGTTTTTCTACCCATTAACCATTCCCTCTTCATCCCATGTTCCTGACTACACTTCCCAGCCTCTTGTAACCACCATTCTATTCACTACTTTCATGAGATTGATTTTTTTTGGCTCCCACATATGAGTTAAAAAGTGATATTTCTCTTTCTCTGCATGGCTTATTTCGTTTAATATCCTCCAGCTCCATCCATGTTGTGGCAAATGATAAGATTTCCTTCCTTTTTTATGGCTGAATAATATTTCATTATGTATACATACCACATTTTCTTTATCCATTCATCCATTGATGAACACAGGTTGATTCCAAATCTTGTCTATTGTAACTAGTGCTGTAATAAACATGGAAGCACAGATAACTCTTTGATATACTGATTTTCTTTCTTTTGGATATATACACTGCAATGGGATTATTGCATCATATGGTAGTTCTATTTTAAGTTTTTTGAGGAATCTCCATACTGTTTTCCATAGTGGCTGATCTACATTCCCAACAACAGTGTATAAGCATTGCCCCTTTATCAACATTCTTACTGTCTTTTTGATAATAGCCATTTTAACTGGGATGAGGTGATATCTCATTGTGGTTTTGGTTTGTATTTCCCTAATAATTAGTGGTGTTGAGTATTTTTCATATGCCTGTTGTCCATTCTTATCTCTTCTTTGAGAAATGTCTATTCAGATCTTTGCTAATTTTCAATCAGATAATTTGTTTTTTGTTTGTTTGTTTGTTTGTTTGTTTTTTGCTATTCAATCATTTGAATCTCTTACGTCTTCCCTTGCTGGATGGATAGCTTCCAAATATTTTCTTCCATTCTGTAGGTTTTCTCTCCGCTTTGTTTAGTATTTTTTTGTTTGTTTTTTTTGTTGTTGTTGTTGTTGTGAAGAGGTTTTCAACTTGATATAGTCCTATTTGTCCATTTTTGCTTTGGTTGCCTGTGCATTTGAGGTCTTACTAAAAAATCTGTATCAAACCAATGTCCTGAAGTATTTCACCAATGTTTTCTGGTAGTAGTTTCATAGTTTCAGGTCTTATATATAAGTCTATGATTCATTTTAATTGGATTTTCACACACAGTGAGAGATAGGGGTCTAGTTTCATTATTCTGCATGTGGTTATCCAGTTTTTCCAACACCATTTGTTGAAGTGACCGTCCTTTCCACAGTGTATATTCTTGGCACCTTTGTTGAAAATAAGTTGTCTGTAAATATAAAAACTTTTTCTGTGTACTCTATTCAGTTCTATTGGTCTATGTGTCTGTTTTTATGCCAGTACTATGCACTTTTTGTTACTATAGCTTTTTAGTATCTTTTGAAGTCAGGTAATGTGATGCTTCCATGTGTTCTTTTTGCTTTGTTCTTTTTACTTAGGATAACTTTGGCTATTTGGAGTCTTTTGTAATTCTATATGAATTTTAGGATTTATTTTTCTGTGAAGAATGTCATTGGTATTTTAATAGAGAGTGCATTAAATCTGTAGATCATTTTGGGTAATATGAACAATTTAACAATATTATTTTTCTAATTCATGAACATGCAATATCTTTCCTTTTTGTGTGTTTTTTTTCATTTTATTTCATTAGTATTTTATAGTTTTCATTGTAGAGATCCTTCACTTTTTTGGTTAAGTGTATTCCTAGGTATTTGTTTATCGTAGCTATTATAGATGGGATTGCCTTCTTGATATCTTTTTTAGATTGTTCATTGTTGGCATATAGAAATGCT
This sequence comes from Homo sapiens, assembly GCF_000001405.40. NCBI lineage: Eukaryota > Metazoa > Chordata > Mammalia > Primates > Hominidae > Homo > Homo sapiens. The sequence continues at coordinate 122,774,845 of NC_000006.12, read as the reverse complement.
ACTGATTTTTGTACGTTGATTTAGTATCCTACAACTTTGCTGAATTTATCAATTCTAACCTTTTTTTTTTTTTTGGAAGAGTCTTTAGGTTTTTCTAAATATGAGATCATGTCATCAGCAAACAATAACAATTTGACTTCTTCCTTTGCAGTGTGGATGCCCTTTATTTCTTTCTCTTGTCTAATTGCCCTGGCTAGGACTTCCAATACCATGTTGAATAAAAGCCACTCGACTGTTCTATAACTCCATATACTGACATTTTTGACTTATTTTACATTATTCAGAATATAATGGCTGTATACCTAAGAATGGTTGCTTTCAAATAGTAGCTTATTTGCTCTGATTATTGAAGAATTTAATAGAAGATAAAGTGAAAAAGCAGAGACTGTGTTGTGCTAAGGATTTAACATTTAACAAATCTTTTTACAAGCTTTCTTTTCCTTTCTCTCTCTCTCTGTCTTTTTTTTTTTTTTTTTTTTTTTTTTTGACAGAGTCTATCTCTGTCACCCAGGCTGGAGTGCAGTGGCCTGATCTGGGCTCACTGCAATCTCCACCTTTCAGGTTCAAGCAATTCTCCTGCCTCAGACACCAGAGTAGCTGGAATTACAGGCATGCACCACCACGCCCAGCTAATTTTTGTATTTTTAGTAGAGATGGTGTTTTACCATATTGGCTAGGCTGGTCTCGAACCCCTGACCTCACGTGATCCACCCTCCTGGGCCTCCCAAAGTGCTGAGATTATAGGTGTGAGCCACTGCTCCTGGCTTTTTCCAAGCTTTCTAAACCTGGGAGCAATTTATGACTTTGCTGTGGCTTTTATCATACAAACGCATCTACAGTCTCATAAGGGAAAGATTATGACAGATTGACTCCTCACTCAGAGTTGTTACCTTTATTTATTAACTAGTGGCACTAATGGTAAAGAATTCATTATAAAGACCTGTTTGTTTGTTTTTTTTAAAAAGTAGTGAAATAAAAGAAAGAAAGATAAGTTGCTTTAGGAGATCCTGGCAGAATCTTCACATGACGCTGAATCTCCTGGCCTTGCTTTACAACAATTTTTCCTTTTTAACAAAATAGAAGGTGTTAATAAAGTTTTAACATTGTTTTGAGCAAAGTAAGTTAACCAAGGTTATGACATTATTTCTTGTAAGATATCCAAGGTTATGCAGCAACAAAAATTAAATAACAAAGTATTTGCTGCTTGAGGTTCTCTTTCTTACCAAATTACAAAGAATAAAATAGTAATTGAATATCTCTGTAGCTGGAAAGGAAATGTAATTACACAATAAAAGCACCATTGGCCCACAGTCTCTCCCATAATAGGTAATGCTGGGCAAGGTGTCAGAGCCCTGGCATCAGAAAGTGGTCAACTCAAGGGTTGGCAAAAAGAATTTACAGGTGACAGTATAGATTTAAAAAAGAAAGTTTTATTAGATAGAAAGAATGCTCCAGAAGAGTGCAGTGGGCACCTCACTAAAAGAGGACTGAGTGCGCAGCAGTGGATTTTTCCTTAGGAGTATTTATGGTCCTTAAAGGAGGAACTTAAGGGTAATTTAGATCATATCAGCCACTTAGGTCATGATAAATGATTACATTTGTAGACATTTTGGCGCCTTAATGTCAGCAAGGGTTGCATAATAAGTTTTGATTCGCATGTATTCTGGAGATATATAGAAATTCTAGTTACTTACAAATTTTGGGGAAAGAAACCTGCAACCAGATGCCTGCCTTAGATAATAGGGAAATCTGATTACTTCTGAATTCCTCTGATAAAGAGTTTTGCCTCTGGATGATCTGCTTGATGGCCACCAGGTGATCTTTGCTCTCCTCAGGAAGATCAGACAAACTGGTTTTGCTGAAGCAATGGTACAGACATTCCCTAGGGGCTTACCTGTCTGTTCATGTGTACACATTTTATCATGCCTACCCTCACCAATAAACCAGCTAAGCCAGCTCCTGCCCAGGAAGGATGAGGATTCCAATCTTCAAGCAAGGGCTAAATGCAATATCAGTAATGGAATTTGATGGTGTGAAGAGGTGTGGGGGTAGGAAAAAATGAGTGAATTATCTGTCTATTGGTGATATGTAACTTTTATCTTATTGCATTTTAGAAAGTATAGACTTGGCCGGGCATGGTGGCTCATGCCCGTAATCCCAGCACTTTGAGAGGCAGAGGTGGGCAGATCAGTTGAGCTCAGGAGTTCAAGACCAGCCTGGGCAACATGATGAAATCCCTTCTCTACTGAAAGTACAAAAATTAGCTGGGATGTGGTGGCACATGCCTGTAGTCCTAATTACTCAGGTGGCTGAGGCATGAGAATTGCTTGAACCCAGGAGGTGGAAGTTGCAGTGAGCTGATTGTGCCACTGCAGTCCAGCCTGAGCAATATAGACTAGGTCAGAGGGAGATAAATCTCCAGGTATGGCATGCCCTTGAAAAGAAGCATTTTGGAGAAATGTCCTTCTCATTTCTCTACTATTTTCTGCAGTTTTTTCTCCTTTTACCTCCCATTATTTAAATATTCCATTCTTAGCCTGCTTCTAGATCTGACATAGTGACTGAGGAGAGAACTTTTTGCATATTTTGGGTTTATTATTAAAAAGTCCCAGGACCTTCCTTCTGCTCGGGTCATTCATATGCAACAACTCGGCCAAGAAAACTCTTCTCTCCAGCCTCCTGGTTAATTTCACTTTTAGGGTTTAGTTCAATTAATATTTCCTCAAGGAAAACTGGGTCAAAACCCCATGGTTATGTCATCCTATGGTTTCATTTATGTATTACACATATATAATAATTTCAATTACTTTTGTAATCAGTCATTTAGTATCTTTCTCCTACCTTAAGAACACAAGTTCCTTGAAACATCTATTTTATTATGCATTGTGCTCTACGACCATCGTCTAGCATAGTATCAAGTCCACTTGATATGTGCTCCACAAATGTCAAACATATGAACAAATATAGAAATATACAGAAAACCAGAAAGGGTCAAAAAATAAGAATTTAGACTATAGTTCATATGATCTTTTCTAAGTTTTCAGCCAAACCTTTCTTCTCTTTGCAACATATATGATCCCCAGAGAAAGGTATCTAAGCCTCTTCTTTAATCCTATCATGTTAATGTTTAAGAGGAAATTAAGGCTCACTGTTTTTAGGTTTTTTCTTTAAAATGAAAGCACACAGAATAGTTTTAATAAGCGTTCAAATGCATGATGGATTTAATAATGCAAGAGTAGGAGAGTTTTGTGCCATGCCATATGTGGAAGCCTGATGCCAATGAGTATGCATGGTAATTGTCCTTTCTATAGATCCTCTGATCTGTTTACTATGGGTTATTATCACTTGTAAATCAATCAAGAACTTTTTGTTCTTATATTCCTTGAAGATCTTTTTTGTTTACTGATCTCTGCTGATTACTGTGTACATTGAGCAATGATTAACAGGTAGGTAGCTATAAAAGGAAGTTACTAATCTGGGATCAGTTGAAGATTACAGAAACCACCCTAGCTATTTTTAACAGAAACAGGACAACATATAGGGAATTAGATGCTTACAAAACACTTGGAATAGTTGAAATAGCAGGTTTTAGGTTGAGCTAAGCTTTCAGGAATACTCCCAGAACACCACCGCATAAACTGACCTGCTAAGGCAACAGTTATCTCTACATAATTGGGAAGCTGGGAATCAGGAACCTGCTTTGCCACCTGCTGGCTCCCAAATATCCTGCTAGTTGTTGCCTAGAAATGAGAGCTTTGCTCAGAAGTACTGATTCCAAAACCACACCATATGGGCTGAATCTCAACAGCAAATGTATGACTTGTGTGCATTCTGTCTCACCACTTACTTACATTTTGAAATCTAGTCTTACACAAGTATATTGCACAAGTTATGCAATAGGCAAAACCTAAATCAAGTGTAGGTATAGGGAAGTTTGGAAATACTGTTTTACCCTCTGCTGCTTCTGCAGAGCATGAATCAGATAAGTCAGTCTACCACACCCCATCCATCACACAGATAAATGAACATTTTTTAAATGTGTTTGTTAAAAGGGGAGAATAAAGTAAAGACAGAGATCGTATAGGTCTGAAAATATTCTATAGTAGTAGTATCTAAAACTGGAAGATCATTAGAATCATCTGGGAAGATTTATATTTATAGAGATTTCAAGTTTATCAAGATTTTGACATAGGCAGTCTGGGGGTAAGGCTGAACTTTGTATTGAAAAACAAAATCTTAAGTTGAAATCCTATGTATGTAATACATTTAATGCCTTATTAACTTGTAAACTAGTACATTCCAGTCTGTCAGAATCATATTAGTAAATTTAGATTCTAATATTTCTTCAGTGCTAAGTACTAAGTAGGACTACAAGACCACTGATGCTACTACTAATTCCTTGACCCTACTGATGATCGTGGAAATGGTGTGTGACTTATGCCAAGACTGCCTCCATATCAGATAAAAGTGTCTTGTGTTATGCAGCAAGGAAGAAATATGACCTATAACTACCCTAAAGATGAAATATGCTAAACCAATGTTAACATGAAAAGCTGTTACAATTAAAACTATCCCCAATCTAAATATAAATTTCCAAGATCCCCAAAGTTTAATCAACTCTCCATTAACTTTTATGGGAACATGCCTGAGGACATTAAAAATTCCTCTTCCAAGAGAGCCACTGGTTCATTTGGGCCTCCAGATGAGTGAAATATATTTATTCTCATTAAAAAAAAGATAATTCTCATGTAAATATTTTCTAACTGAAATTTAAGTCTGTGCAACACATTATTTGCAAGAGAATTTGTTGAAGAAGCTATCAATATGGTTTGATAAATAACATCATTGTAAATTACAAGCGGGCCATTGAAATCTGCAATATTTCTCATTCAATAGCTGATTGGAAACACAGTATTATAAGCCTTTGTTTGAATTTTAGCAGCATAAAATTAAAATAAAATAAAATTGCGGCATTATTTTACTTTTTCTTTCACCGCAAAGCAACTTTTTTAACTGACCAGATCGGTTGAAACCATTAGGATTACACTATTTTTGCTGTTGTTTTTAAAAATATGGGAATGACATTACAAACGTTTGTACTCCTCAATTTGTTAACAGAGAAGTCTCCATTCGAGACTCAAGAAAATGCCAGCATTTCGTAAGTTTTCTACTCGGCCTATTAATTTTCTATCCTTTTGGAAATATTTAATATCCTAAAAATAACATTTGTAGACATAAATAAATATGAGAGATTCTGTGTAAGTTAAGGTGTTTCTGAAACCAAATACATTTTTCTGAATGCATTTATTTCTGCCTCTCCAGTACGTACAAGAAAGTGCTAATCATTGAAGGCAAGTAAAATGATGCTACGTAAACATATAATAATAAATTTTGTATATTTATGTACTTTTAGAAACAGAGCTTACAATAGGATTTAATTTTATAAATTATGTTATGAATTATGTTACAAATATATCATTTATAAATTATAGTGAGCAGCAATTTTTGAAGACCTTTGAGTCTTGAGGAGTGCTGCTTTTATACATTGTGTAATCTGTAATATATAAAAGGAAATTAGTAGTTGATAGAAAACATTATTGGGGAAACCTTGAATTTCCCTTGAAAGTCCATGTCATCATCATGATATCTTTAAAACCCTGAGGTGAGTTTTCATGGGTCACTTCCAGATTCCTGCTGCTGCTACCAATGGAGAATGTCAGGGTATGGTTTGCTTTTCTACCCTCAAGTGCTCAAGCTGTTTTGAACTATGACAGGTAGATGTGGAACTCTATGTCATTCCTTTGTTTCCACAGAGAAACCACCAGACAGGAGGCATTTTTGAGTCTGGTGCTTTTTCCTGAAGTTTTAGGAAGGCACAGTTAATATTGCAAAAATACAAAACCTGTTCGAATGGTGATATCCTCATTCCTTTCTCCTTGTTTCCAACAAGGAAGAAATCCCTATTCATTTCTAATCTAGAGTAATGTAGCCATCTCTTTTATTTCTTTGACACCTGTTAATCCATGACCTCAGTACTAATTGCTTATTAAAGTATTTTCTAATATAATACAGCTCCTTCTCTAAGAGAAAATTCTGATTATCTGGGGGCACAAAGTTAAATTAATCATACCCGTTGGTTAGTGTCATAATCTTATCACTTGTCCATGTTGGTCCAATTTTCATTTATTTGGCTAATTACATAATTATTTTCACTAATGTAATAAACACCCACATGTGAATCCTCCTTTCGAAACAAAGCCTAGGACTTTGAAAACATTCCTGCATCCATTTCCTTACTTTCTCCAACTCAAGGTAAACATCTTCCTGAATCTCATGCTCATCACTTGCTTTTTTGCTTTTATTTAGTTCAGTGCATCTACATATTTTCTTAAAACATATATACCAATGTAATCTTCATAAAATGTTTTACATTGTTATGTAATATGCTAGGAATTAACTTTTTTACATGTGCAATAGTTTATTTTGGGCACATAGTTTGAATTGAAATTGATGGATCATTGATTGGTCATAGGTTAATCTTCAGTTTTAGAAGGTTATGCCAAATTGTTTTCTAAAGTGGACTCACCAATTTATACTCTCACCAGTGGATCAACATATTCCCCAATGCTTAATATTGACAGAGTTTCAATGGTGACCAATCAGATGCATATACAATGACATCTAATTTTTTCTTGACTTGTATTTTCCTAATCATGAATGAAGTGAACATATTTTCATATGTTTAATGGTCTATGATTTCTACCTCTGTGAAATGTCTGTTCTCCTGCCCATTTGCCTGTAGGTTAGTTGTGTTTTTCTTATTTTGTATTGTTGATCCTAATTTTTGTAGTGTGGGAGTCATGAATATATTCTTCCAGTTTGTAACTTACTTTCACTTTCTTTAAAGTAGCTTCTTATGACCAAAAGTTCTTATTTTTAATATTGCCAAATTTATTAATATTTTATGTCATTGTCAATATGTTTCATGTCTTATTTAAGGAAACCACCTACCCAAGGTCCAAAAGATATTCACTTATATTTTCTACCAAGCCCTTTTTTTCTCTCTCTCTCTTCTTTTTTTTTTTTTTTTCCTTTTAGTGGAGAACAGGGTCTTGCTATGTTGCCCAGGCAGGTCCCAAACTCCTGGGCTCAAGCTATCCCCCCACCTCTGTCTCCCTAAGTGGGGGAATTACAGGCATTAGCCACTATGCCTGGCCACCAAGTGATTTAAAGTTTTAACATTTGAACCGTTAACTTGCTGGAGTAGATTTTTGTATATCATAAGAAGTAGGGTTTTAAATTCACTTTTGAATATGTAGATAATAATTTTTTCCAATCCACTTATTGAACATTTCACCACCTAAATGGAATACCATCTCTGTGATTTACCGAAGTCCTCTATGTATTTTAATATATTTCTCTGAACCCTCTTTAATTCCACTAATCAATTAGGTTTGTAACCTTCTAACATTGCTAAGCTGTCAATTTTTATAGCCTCATGACAGTCCTAATAACCGGAAAAGCAAGTCTCCCAATTTGTTACTCTTCTTCAGAAATATCCTATTTATGGCCCTTAATATATGTATATATGGTACTATCATTTTATTATCATCCATAAAAAATTATGTTTTTACATTGGAATCATATCTATTTTATATATTGATCTGGAAGAATTGATACTTCTATGATATTGACTTCCTAGTCATGAAAATGATATACTTTTTTACATATGTAGTCATTAATATTGCATAATAATGTTTTATAATTTCCCCTGCAGGGCTTTTCTACATATTTTTTAAGATTTATTCTTAGATAATTGAGGTTCCCTGAGACTACTGAAAATGTTGTCTTCCCTTTAATTTTCTATTAGTTTGTTACTGTTATATAGAAATACAACTGACTTTAGCAAACATATTATATCTAGTCTGCTTGCTACACTATTCTATTATTTGTAACAATTTGTAGAATATTTTTCAATGTAAATGATCATAAAACGTGCAATTAATGGTATTTTAATTTCCTCCTTTCCAGTTTAATATTTCTTACAATATTATTGCACTGAGGACTTCAATTCAGTTTAAATATAAGCTACCATACTGTGTATTGTTGTCTCATTCTTGATTTTTCCAGGAATGCTTCTAATGTTCACCTATTTATATCACTTCTAGATGTTAATTTTCTATAGAAAATCACTTTTTAGTAGTAAAACCTTTCCCTAAAATTCCTGATTCCCTAATCATTTTTATTATGAATGTGTATGCTGGTGGGTTATATGCTCTTTATCATCTAATACTGTATGGACTTTAAGACCTAAAATAAAACAAGCAAGTCTTTGATCTACTCTACCATCTGCCTCCAGGATGTGGGATGCTAGGTCTGTGCCAACCAGAAATCTGGCAATATATCTTTCCTTGGATATTATAAACAGAAACACTACATTCTAGGTGATTACAGCTGTGTTCCTTCTTTCCTGCACAGTCTTTCTTCTTTCTTCAACCACTCAAAGTTAGAGAAGGACTGAATGTAGCATATTGTACCCTAAGAAGTGTAGTACCTACATAAAAGTTGCTGTCATCTTGAACAAATACTTAAAAACCACTTGAAGCAGCAACTAATGAATATGCATACAATATGTTAAAAAGCCTCAGGGAAGTAGGCAATAGGTGTAGAAAATATCCCAACTCATTTCACAGCAGTTTCTAAACTGGTAGCTGATCCTCTAAACCTATTCTCTAGCTACATATTTGAGAGCAGAACTCTATCAGTTACCATATGACAGCATGTTGAGGGAAAGAAAAAAAAGATCCTTTCCTGTTGTTTGTAACAAAATTTCAGGTCTTGATAAATATTTCTCTTTGCTTGAATAAGAGAAGCAAAATATAATCAAATCCAGCATGAAATCTGTGGGCAGAGCTATAAAAACAATAAAGTAGTAGAGGCCACATTATCTTGAAGACAGAGAATAAGAGTATATTCTCAGAAAATGATCAAAGCAAAAAGAAGAAAAAAAAGTCTCTTTGGCATATCAGTAGGTAGAAGTGGCTTCTATGACACAGGAGCAAGGATTCCTAAGAAGAGAACAGATTGAAATTTTAAAAATGAGCCAGATGAAAGGGAGGTGGGGAGGCTAAAATTAAAAAATAAAATGAGGTAATGAAAAAATTAAAGAAAATTAATAATTAAATAGAAGGAATCAGATCAACATAGGAGACAGTAATGAATAGAATGCCATTGTTTGAAGAGAACTTTCAGAATGCAGAGACATTTTGAATAGTGAAAATAAAAATATTAGACAAGACAGAATAGATAGCCTAAGAGGCACAGATTACCAAGAATGACATCAAAAGAACTGGAATATAAAATATATGCAATAAACAAAAGCATTATTGAGGAAACCTTTCATTTGCTGAAAATAGGCTATATATATATAGATACATATCTAAATCGATCTATCTTTATCTAAACTCTCTATGTAAGATAGATAGAGGTCAAAATGCCATGCCAGCTGATTTGGTTAATGAAAAAAGGACCTAAACTTTCTCATTCTAGCAGTATTTTGAATCAAATATAATTCAGATCAATAAATATAAAACATAAGTGAAAAAATCCAATAAACATTCAATCAGAGAAAAAGATGCCTGTAATGTCATAAGAAGTATGATTGCCCATAGTCTTTTCCATTGCAGAATTGAGATACCAAATGAACACACAGCAATGTTACAAATGTTTTGAAAAAGCTGAGACTCATTTTTTTCCCATTACATGTGCCTGTAAAAGAAGATTTTTCTCTTTGAAAATCAATCAACTGGCATTCTCATTATAATGTTTTCATGTTACTTATCTGCAGGAAGAAACTACATTAGGCAGTGGACTTGGTAACACCATTTACTCTGCAATTATATTTCCCTTGCAAATTAGTAAAGTCTGATTGCATACAACAGTCTTGACAGCCTAGTTGCTTGAGTCTGCTGTTTGAGACAAGATCAAGTTTTGCTGTCAAATCATGTTTCAAAATCCTCAGGATTAAGTCTAGATTCTGAACAATGGCAAACACTTTAAGGCAATGATCATCAACTCGTAGAAAAGACAAACATACACACATCCCTTTCCAAAGGGAAGGGTCTTGCATGTGGGCAGGGAAGATGTATTCAGTTTCATAAGCCATGTTCAAAATTGCCATCGTTTTGACTTACAACATCAAGGGAAGATATGCAGTTTTTAACAAAAAGGGGATGGGTCATAAATGAAACAGTTCATGAGTTCCTTTGAACATCTTTTCTTTGTCTTGTTTGTTTTCTCTTTTTTTTAATTATACTTTAAGTTCTAGGGTACATGTGCAAAATGCACAGGTTTGTTACATATGTATACATGTGCCATGTTGGTGTGCTGCACCCATTAACTCGTCATTTACATTATGTATTTCTCCTAATGCCATCCCTCCCCACTCCCCCCACCCCATGACAGGCCCTGGTGTGTGATGTTCCCCTTCCTGTGTCCAAGTGTTCTCATTGTTCAATTCCCACCTATAAGTGAGAACATGAAGTGTTTGGTTTTCTGTCCTTGCAATAATTTGCTCAGAATAATGGCTTCCAGCTTCATCCATGTCCCTACAAAGGACATGAACTCATCCTTTTCTATAGCTGCATAGTACTCCATGGTGTATACGTGCCACATCTTCTGAATCCAGTCTATCATTGATGGACATTTGGGTTAGTTCCAAGTCTTCGCTATTGTGAATAGTGCCACAATAAACATACGTGTGCATGTGTCTTTGTAGCATGATTTATAATCCTTTGGGTATATACCCAGTAATGGGATCACTGGGTCAAATGGTATTTCTAGGTTTAGATCCTTGAGGAATCGCCTTCCTGTCTTCCACAATGGTTGAACTAGTTTACACTACCACTAACAGGGTAAAAGTGTTCCTATTTCTCCACATCCTCTCCAGCACCTGTTGTTTCCTGACTTTTTAATGATTGCCATTCTAACTGGTGTGAGATGGTACCTCATTGTGGTTTTGATTTGCATTTCTCTGATGACCAGTGATGATGAGCATTTTTTCATTTGTCTGTTGGCTGCATAAATGTCTTCTTTTGAGAAGTGTCTGTTCATATCCTTCACCCACTTGTTGATGGGGTTGTTTGATTTTTTTCTTGTAAATTTGTTTACATTCCTTGTAGATTCTGGATATTAGCCCTTTGTCAGATGGGTAGATTGCAAAAATTTTCTCCCATTCTGTAGGTTGGCTGTTCACTCTGATGGTAGTTTCTTTTGCCGTGCAGAAGCTCTTTAGTTTAATTAGATCCCATTTGTCTATTTTGGCTTTTGTTGCCATTGCTTTTGGTATTTTAGTCATGAAGTCCTTGCCCATGCCTATGTCCTGAATGGTGTTGCCTAGGTTTTCTTCTAGGGTTTTTATGGTTTTAGGTCTAACATTTAAGTCTTTAATCCATCTTGAATTAATTTTTGTATAAGGTGTAAGGAAGGGATCCAGTTTCAGCTTTCTACATATGGCTAGCCAGTTTTCCTAGCACCATTTATTAAATAGGGAATCCTTTCCCCATTTCTTGTTTTTGTCAGGTTTGTCAAAGATCAGATGGTTGTAGATGTGTGGAATTACTTCTGAGGGCTCTGTTCTGTTCCATTGATCTATATATCTGTTTTGGTACCAGTACCATGCTGTTTTGGTTACTGTACCCTTATAGTATAGTTTGAAGTCAGGTAGCATGGTATCTCCAGCTTTGTTCTTTTTCCTAAGGATTGTCTTGGCAATGTGGTCTCTTTTTTGGTTCCATATGAACTTTAAAGTAGTTTTTTTCCAATTCTGTGAAGAAAGTCATCGGTAGCTTGATGGGGATGGCAATGAATCTGGAAATTACCTTGGGCAGTATGGCCATTTTCACTATATAGCATCTTCCTACCCATGAGCATGGAATGTTCTTCCATTTTTGTCCTCTTTTATTTCATTGAGCAGTGGTTTGTAGTTCCCCTTGAAGAAGTCCTTCACATCCCTTTTAAGTTGGATTCCTAGGTATTTTATTCTCTTTGAAGCAATTGTGAATGGGAGTTCACTCATGATTTGGCTCTCTGTTTGTCTGTTATTTGTGTATAGAAATGCTTGTGATTTTTGCACATTGATTTTGTATCCTGAGACTTTGCTAAAGTTGCTTATCAGCTTAAGGAGATTTTGGGCTGAGACGATGGGGTTTTCTAAATATACAATCATGTCATCTGCAAACAGGGACAATTTGACTTCCTCTTTTCCTAACTGAATACCCTTTATTTCTTTCTCCTGCCTGATTGCCCTGGCAAGAACTTCCAACACGATGTTGAATAGGAGTGGTGAGAGAGGCCATCCCTGTCTTGTGCCAGTTTTCAAAGGGAATGCTTCCAGTTTTTGCCCATTCAGTATGATATTGGCTGTGGGTTTGTCATAAATAGCTCTTATTATTTTGAGATATGTCCCATCAATATCTAGTTCATTGAGAGTTTTTAGCATGATGGGCTGTTGAATTTTGTCAAAGGCCTTTTCTGCATCTATTGAGATAATCATGTAGTTTTTGCCATTGGTTCTCTTTATATGATGGATTATGTTTATTGATTTGTGTATGTTGAACCAGACTTGCATCCCAGGGATGAAGCCCACTTGATCATGGTGGATACGCTTTTTGATGTGCTGCTGGATTCAGTTTGCCAGTATTTTATTGAGGATTTTTGCATCAGTGTTCATCAGGGATATTGGTCTAAAATTCTCTTTTTTTGTTGTGTCTCTGCCAAGCTTTGGTATCAGGATGACGCTGGCCTCATAAAATGAGTTAGGGAGGATTCCCTCTTTTTCTATTGATTGGAATAGTTTCAGAAGGAATGGTAACAGCTCTTCTTTGTACCTCTGGTAGAATTTGGCTGTGAATCCGTCTGGTCCTGGACCATTTTTGGTTGGTAGGCTATTAATTGTTGCCTCAATTTGAACATCTTCTTTTCAAAACTTGAAAAACAGAAAAGAATTGAGTTAAAATTGATTTCTTTTTCAGAAAGGATTAAATTATTATTTTATGAAGTCTTCTCATTTAGAGGCCATGAGGTTTTGACTTCATTTATTCCAAAATTTGATACTTCTTTGGGTAACATATTTATTTTCTACATTTAAGTATGTGTTATCAATTCTTTTGCTCTCCTTAAGATAGCTGTGGGTTTCAAAATAATTAAAACAAAACCAAAATGAAGCAAACTCTACAACCCAGGGATTAGCATTTTTAATCATAAGTCTGTTTGGATCTAGTACTTAGATCAATTAATATAATAATCTTTGACTGCCCTATATTGAAATCCTATTACGAGAAGATTTTCTTGTTTTGACTCTGAAAGATTACTGGCCAGGTTCAAAATACAGGGTGCATCTTTACATAAATGATATAGTCTGGCCAGTTTCAAAACACAGGGTATATCTTTAGATAACCTAACTTCTTTAGCATATAAGTAATGGTCTGAAAATCACAGTGTTACTCTGGATCATCTCTTAGGTTTCTTCTTTGTCTAATGTCCTAGAGTTCTTTGGTATTTCTATAGTATTTGGCTCATTTTCAAATTTAACCTCATAGAAACCCTATCAGACAAGTTAAGAGGTCTTCCACTGTGTATGTTAACAGTCACCTTGCAGGAAAACATTATCTCATACCTCAGGAAGCAGTTATCTAGATGCTCTCACGATTCAAGTTCAAAGCAAACGAAACAATTCTACCAAAATAAAACTTTGAGATAGAAAATATTTTTAAACTTTTAAGAGACAGAATTGGGGAAGAGGGACAGAACTAAATAGTTATGTTTGAGTTCACAGATAAATAAAGCTAACTTTAACCTGGAAGTCTCATAAATCTTGCTTTGACATGAATTTTAATAAAAATCTGATTAGTTAATGAGGAACCATGTACTAATCTTTTACAAAGCTGCAAAGCATTCATTTAAGTTATAATAGTGATATATCACTATTATATATTCATTTTCTCATTTCTAGCATTTTGCAGTTTTTATTATATCAATTTTGGCCACTATTATATATCAAAATTGTTTGATTTAAATATCATTTAAATTCAATATAATGTTACAGCAAATTAAGATATTTGCTGTTTGTAAAAAAGAACCACTTATAAAAGATTAGTTTTACAATGTAAATCACTCCCCAATCATATTTTTCATAGTCAAAATCAAGTGAAAAGAAGTATAGCTAATAAGCCAAAAGTTGCTATAAATTACTATGCTAAAGAAAATTCAATTAATCTAAAAGAAGGCAGGAACAGAAGGAAAAAAAAAACAAAGAGCAGATGGATAGGACTAAGAGAAATCAAAGAGCAAGATGGTAGAACTTAAAAAAACAACAACAGGCCCCAAATTATGCTGTCTACAAGAAATTTACTATAAATATAAAGTCACATATGTTAAAAGGATGAAGAAAATGTATCATGCAAATGCTAATGATAAGGAAGCTGGAATGGTTATATTATGAGATAAAGTAGACTTCAGGACAATGAACCTCACTGGGGACAAAGAGGAACATTTTACAGGATTAAAGTATCAATTATTCAATTATTTCTTGAAAGGGGCATGAGGGAACTTCTTAACAGTGATGGAAATGTTCTCCATCTCGACTGACTCTTTGAATACTTGGGTGTGTACCTTGGTCAAAACTATTAAACTGTACACTTTAAATAGGTACAATTATGGTATGTAAATTATATCTTTTTTTTTTTTGAATCAGAGTCTCGCTCTGTCGCCCAGACTGGAGTGCAGTGGCAACCTCCGCCTCCTGGGTTCAAGTAATTCTCCTGCCTCAGCCTCCTGAGTAGCTAGGACTGCAGGCACCCGCCACCACACCCGGCTAATTTTTGTATTTTTAGTAGAGATGGGGTTTCACCATATTGGCCAGGCTGGTCTCAAACTCCTGACCTTGTGATCTGACCCCCTGGCCTCCCAAAGTGCTGGGATTACAGGCATGAGCCACTGTGCCCGGCCTGTAAATTATATCTTAATAAAGTTTAAAAAAAAGAAAAAATGGCATTTCCAAATGAATCATAAGTGGGCTAGAGTAGTATTGTAGCATAGTTATTTAGAGCATGTATGCTTGGCCAGACTGCCAGGGGCTAAATCCTGCCTCCTTATATTCCTCACCATATATAAAATTAACTAATTTAACTTCTCTGTGCCTCAGTTTAATTTTAAAATAAGCATTATTGTCACAGTTAAACAGTAGTTGTAAGGACTAAATGAGTTACTACAAATAAAGTGCTTAGAAGAATGTCACAGCAAGTACTCAATCCATGTTAGCTATTATTAAATTCTGTATCCTCTGATTAAGCCTGATTAAGATTGGATGCTTGTAATGATTTGTAGCATTATTTTAATGCATCAAAAGGAGAAAAATAGGAAGAAAAGAAGAAGGAAGAAAAATAGCCCTTTGTTGGAAATCAGTTTTTAACCAAATTAACTAGAATTTATTTGGATGTCTAGATTTTTAGCTTGAGCAATGACAGACCTCTTTCTGTAATTGAATTTGCATAGCTGACACACACCCTATGGGGGAAGTTTGTGGCCAAATACCGAGAACAGTTTAGAATTGTTGGCAAGAATTCTTGCTACCTGATTTGGAAACCCCCATGAGGAACATCTAGGCTCTGTACTGTCATACTCTACAAAAAGGAAAGGCTTCATAAGTATGTTTGAATAAATTAATGAATGGGAGAGCATGGAATTCATTCTAAGTATGTGAAACCTAGTGGCCCTGCTTTATAACTTCATAAAGGAAAAACTCAAGAAGAGAACAGAATATTATGTTGGTCCCAAGGGAGCTTGTTTCTTTAAGTAACTCTTTAGAGCATTGTGTAGCTCTACCATTTTCCACTATAAGATTTAGAAGCAGTCATGCTAATTGCTGTCCTATTGAGCAGTGGTCCCTAAATAATTTTTATGTTTTACCCCATCAAAAAAGTTTGACAACCTGATATATGTATATTTATTTATTCATAACTTATATGCACATATTACCATATTAACATAGTGTGAACATTATAAAACATATAAAATATAATGTGGAGACAATGAGATGAAGATGACATAAGTAATATTTTTATATATTGTCTTCCTAATTGTAGATGGCTTCATAATACTGTTGGCTACAATTTCAAAGCCCAGCATATACTTAGGGTAAGGATTATCTTCAGGAACAATGGACATAAATTCACATTTCAAGTCATCCTATAATTATGAACTTTCTTAGCGATTTTTTTTGTTAAAACTATTTATATGGCCCAAATTTATACCTTAGAATTTGATTGACAAGAACTTGCACTAGGAATAGAACACCTATCAGCACTCATCTTTTGTTGTTAGACTGTACACATAGCATTAGCATTGTCTTATATCCTCAGTTGTTTTACAGACATTCTCCCAGTCTTTTAGTCTCATTTTAATTAAAACTAGATAACACTGGGAGGCCAAGGTGGGCGGATCATCTGAGGTCAGGAGTTTAAGAGCAGCCTGGCCGACATGGCAAAACTTTGTCTCTACTAAAAATACAAAAATTAACCAGATGTGGTGACACATGCCTGTAATCCCAGCTACTTGGGAGGCTGAGACAGAAGAATTGCTTGAACCCAGGAGGCAGAGTTTGCATAGAGCCAAGATTGTGCTACAGCATTCCAGCCTGGGAACAAAGCAAGACTCTGTTAATTAAAAAAAAAAAAAAAAAAAGCTAGATAATATAATTCACAAATTTACTTAATTTGCTTTATTGCATTGCAATGAAGTAAAGCCCAGTAAGGTAAAATGGATGAAAAGTGAGACTGCCCCTGTCCATTGTTCACTCTGTCCTCAGGATACTATGAAAAGTGACTGACACATGTCTAAGTAAAGGACCAGTGTCAATCCACATATAAATCTTAGTAAAGATCAAATTCTATCTCATTTTATATAAAATTAAATAGTAACGGGAATACTAATATTTTCTTCTTTTAGTACCTTAATATTTTATTCCGGCACCTTAACAGACTCCTTGGAACGCATGCACCTCCCCTAAAGGAACCAGCCAATCATGAAAGAAAGCCTGCAATCCACACAAGTAGGAGAGAAGCCTCAAGGTTAGCGGGTACAAATTTTCAGCGCAGACCTACATATAGTAACGTATTTCTTTGTCTTGTTTTTATCTGAACTTCATTACTGACTCAACTTCTCATGTGTATCTAGTAGCAGAAAGCTCTATTCAGTCACTTTTCTGCAAACTCTGTTTAATTTGTGATTATTGAGGGATTTGAATGTTTTGCTAAATCAATTCAAGGACTCCCTCCTCCTCTTCTACGACATTGCATCTAATATCTGAGGACAGGGCATGACATGACAGGGACAGGGGCCTAGGGCCAGAAAGGAATTTATGGTCTTTATAGTAGTATCACGATATTTAGTCTTCAGTCATCTTCTCGGTGATTCCTACTCAGCCCCAGTGCATCTGATGCTGTCCCACATATAAAAAGTGAGGTGTCAAGAAAGAGTACAAGACTTTTGGCTGGAGAACTGATTGAATTGTAATTCCACTTAGCATACTGTGGAGACCAAGAGAAAAAATTGGATTGGAAGGGGTAAATCAGTATCTCTCTCTTGGAAATAAGTTTGAGATGTCTATTATACACTCAAGGCAGATATCAGACGGTAGACTTTTGAATATAGCAGTCTGGAGTTCATAAGAGAGGTTTATGGTTAAGATATACACTTAGGAGAAACCAGAAGATATGATTGATCTTTAAAGCCATGGGACCAAATTATTAATAGATCACTTAACCCTTAGTTTCCCATGAGTGAATGTGGACAGTGCAAAGAAGTGATTCAAAGCCTGAGCCTTAGGAACTCTCCAGCTTTCATAAAACAGGAAGAATAGAAGGATCCAGACAAGGAAACTGAGAAAGAGAGGCCAGTGAAATGAGAGGAAAACAAGGATAGTGTCATATATCAGAAGCCAAAGGAAGAAGCGCTCTAAGGAGTGAGTGGTCACCTGTCAAGTGCTGATGAGAAGTTGGGAAAGACAAAGATAGAGTTGATCTTCAGACTGGGTAATGTAGTAGTCATTGATGACTTTGATGAGTGATTTCCATAGACTGGAGGAGAGTGGCTTTAAGAGAAACTAAGAAGAGACAAACGGGATGTATTATCGACAAGTCCTTTAAAGAATTTTTCATAAAGAAGGACTCAGAAATTGGGGCAGTAGTTAGATAGAGAGGATTGAAGGAACAAAGCATTTCAGTGAGCAAGAGAACAGAGGACATGGGATATAAGTAGAAGTTTGAGGTTAGATGAGAGTAGAATGCAGATTATATTGCTACAGATGCATATATGTTGGTGAGCATGGTGGTGCCGACAGGAAGTCCTTTTTAATTGGGTCTATTTTCTCATTGAAATTAGAAGCAACTTCATTAATAGAATGAAGAGGGGAAGGTATTTCAGCAGTTAAGGAAAATATGAAATAGTTACCTCACTGTAGGAGTTCAATCAGGGTGGTGGGAAAAATTATAAAAATTATAGAAAGATGCAAACCTTCTTGGAAGGCCAGGAGGTTTTGCAAAGCTTGGGGGAAGAATGAGCCAAAGGCGGTGGTTCTTACCCCAGGGCAAAGGGCGAGAAGTAGGTACAAAAGAATGCAGGGGAGTTTATCTGAATAGCTTGTTTACTCATGTCTCCAGGAACCTGGCCTGTAATCATCTGCTCTCTCCCGTTGGGGAGAGGAGGGGAAAGGGGGGAGCGCAGAACTGCTCTATCCCCGGAGGAGGGGCGGCCATGTTAATTACCCACAAGTGTGTTGACTCAAAGCCTTTGTCATTAAATCTGTACTGTATAAACGCCCGCAGCACTGGCTTGTTGGGACTGCAGCCGCTGTGACTCTTTACAGCATCCTCCTTGATGTCTTTAAGTGGCCTGGTCCCCTAACCCACTCTTTCAATGGATACCTGTGTCTGTGTGAATTTTTTCATCTGTCGTTTGGCTGGGGTCTGCTGGTCAGACCCAGCACCTCATAGAAATTGGGAAGGTATTCATTCAAGAAACATACTGGGAGGAGGCCACGCGCGGTGGCTCATGCTTGTAATCCCAGCACTTTGGGAGGCTGAGGCGGGCAGATCACAAGGTCAGGAGATCAAGGCCATCCTGGATAACACGGTGAAACTCCATATCTACTAAAAATTAAAAAAAAAAATTAGCCGGGCGTGGTGGCAGGCGCCTGTAGTCCCAGCTACTCGGGAGGCTGAGGCAGGAGAATGGCGTGAACCCGGGAGGCAGAGCTTGCAGTGAGCCGAGATTGCACCACTCCAGCCTGGGCTACAGAGCGAGACTCCGTCTCAAAAAAAAAAAAAAAAATACAAAACATATTGGGAGGAGTAGAAAATGTTGAATTCTCACTTAAGAATCAAGGTTATAAGTAAAAATTCACACTTTATAATATATTTTATAATATAATAGTTCATACTATATTATAATGAGATGTAACGTAAATGTAAATTAATAATAAAAAGAAGTACATGTTTTTTAGTGTTCAAATGCAGCCCAGAGTAGGAAGAGAGATGAATTTTGCTAGGGTTGAGTTTCACTTGGTGAGGACAATGGAGAGAGAAAGGGTCAAGTGACTTTATGATATATGCAAGGAAGTACAGCAATAGATCATGGCATATAAGCCAAGTATTGGCAAGGTGAGTAAGTGAGAGAGAGAGGACACAGGGAAGAAATGGTAGAGTAAATTGATTAGAAATCCCTGGTGTTAAAGCCTTTTGGAGTAGCACTATTGGAAGTAGTGAACTGGAAAAAAAAAAAAGTGATTGTTAGAGAATGAGAATCTGGGAGTGGTACAGTTAGTGGTGATGTCAATACCTGGGAAATAACCAGTAGAAAGGTTGGTGAGTTTAGGTGGAGAACATTGTAATTGAAAGGGACACCAGGGAACTGCAAGTCCTGGGAGTTGGATAGATCTTCTGTGTGGGTGCGAGGGCTATGAAAATGATGCTGAGTTTAAGAGATAGGTGGTGAGCCAGGTAATTCAATTTTCATGAAATCAAGAGGTATGAGGGGAAGTTCTTAGGCTAACAAGTGGGGACGGAAAAGAGGATAGTCTTAGCACATGTACTTCAAAGGAGGCTACACAGAGACAGAAGGAAACAATGATCTGAATGAATTGGACAAAACACCCATTGTTACCACTGAAAAGTGGGTGGGGGGTGGGGGGATGGGGAGCATGGGAGGAAGGAGTTTTAAAGCGAATGTTTTTCAGTTTAAGAAGCCTGAACCTTTGACAAAAGTTGAGATCTTGAAGGTCTTGGGGCAAATGAAGAAAAGGTGGATCATTTCAGAAAAGTCGTCCAGAAGTTGGAAGCGTCTGAGAGCTGCAGCACAGTGGAGGACTTGCCTCAGGCATGGAGACATTTCTTCCATTGAAATAGGGAGGAGGAAGGCAGAGCACGTGGACACTGAAGCAGGAAGCTGGTGGTTTGGTGGAAGAAGATGAGGAAATATTTGTTTAATTTTCTCTATGAAATATAACACATTCATCAACTGAAGACCATCCTTAAGTGAACTGAGCTTATCTAGGATTGAAAAAGATTAGGCAGAAACCACTTTGTGGAACTCCTATTTAAAACTAAGTTTAAATTTAGAAAAATAAAATTATATTTCTTATACAGCTAAGTGTTGTGAGCTGATAATGGTACCTGAGGCAGGAGAATAGGGTCTGAAGGCAGGGAACCTAAGGCTGTTTCATGCTGACTTCCTATAACTAAATTGAAAGGAAAACCCTAACTTTCCATGCCTAAGTAATAAAAGGACCAGAGGCTTCTCCCTTTGACCTTTTCTGCGTGGCAGATGGAAGACTGGCAACAAATTATCCTGAGTGCCCGTCTGGTCTTTGTTTGCAACTTTGTAACTTCACTCCAGCCTCTGAATGGTAGCTGTCTGCAACCAATCAGACTGATTGCCAGCTACCACTTCAGTTACATGAGGTGAGCATGAAGTGGCCAATGGAAAACTTCTGTGGGCGGGGGGGGGGCGGGATTTGGACCCAAGAAGATTCTGTATCCAGGCCCTTAAGCTGCTGCTCGAGTCCACTTCCACACTGTGGAGTGTACTTTCATTTTCAATAAATCCCTGCTTTCGTTCTTTTGTTGCTTCATTCCTTCGTTTTGCTGGGCGTTTTATCCAATTCTTTGTTCAAAATGCCAAGAACCTGGACAACCTGCAGTCATGACCCTCTATCGGTGACAGTACCCACTG
The DNA here is from genome assembly GCF_000001405.40 of Homo sapiens. Taxonomy (NCBI): domain Eukaryota; kingdom Metazoa; phylum Chordata; class Mammalia; order Primates; family Hominidae; genus Homo; species Homo sapiens. The sequence goes on along the minus strand of NC_000006.12, from coordinate 122,753,560 downwards.
TGTGTAGGAGCTCATCCATGACAAATATGTGCACCACAGCAAGTCATCTTGAGGTGACAGATGGGCGAGAACTTGGGGAGGAGGCAGACTCCAAGGTCAATACGGTTCTAGATAAACCAGTAGACAGTGATGAGACTGAGTGTGAGCGAATTACTGAATGCTTTCAATTTTCTGAGTAGATGCACAGAAGTCTATGTAAAGAAAGAAACAAGAGGCAGCAGAGCCTTGTAAATTGCCAAGATTCAATTTGCTAAATCAGTGGAGAACACTTAGGGAGGGGTGAAAATTATCTTTAGAGCCCATTCTTGAAGTTCTGAATTTCCGAAACAGATATCTACAAAGGCACAGCAATACAGATAGCCCAAGTTACCCTGCAGGGCTGCCAGAAAGCAGTGGCCTGGGCACCTGCTGGGAGACAGATCTTGTTTTTGAAGAGGAATTGGAATTTCATTATAAAGCCAGAGAGAAACGGTTAGTCTCGCAGACAGAATTTTTTTCAGAGAGCTGCTAAGCATTTTGTCTAGAGTAAGCATCTTTCTTTTGCTTTGCCTTTATGAAAATGGCATTTTGTCTTTAGCTGGGACTCTTAAAGAAACCACAGCAAAAAACAATGGAAACAACACAGGCTTAGTTAGTGGACTCAACAAACCAGAGAGAGACCACTAACCCTATGCAAGCCTCAGCTTGACTAATAACTTTCTTGAACTAAGCAGGTGATGGCAAAAGACTAGGCAATAACAATGTAGAGGGGGTAGAGATGGCTAAAATTTTGGGTTGGGAAACAGACTACACTGTCTGTAAACTCTAAATAGAGCCACAAGGCTTACTTCGCTGGAGACTATCCAAATTCACCCATGGTGTCCTGGCATAATTATTAAGTGTCCCCTTTCACTTTCAGAAGTGTACTAGCTTAGACAAAGGTCCAAGAGATTCTATCTATAGAAAAACCAACTCTTCACCCCTTATGCAAGAAGTTTCCTCAGAGCTTATTCATAAAGGAGAAATTCAGCCAGCATCATGCCAATATCTCCAGGAGGGTAAGGTTGGGGGTGGGAATGGCTTAGGCCAACATTTAGAGGAAAGAAATCCCCTATATATAAAATGTTGACAATTCTAGCCAAAGAGATTGCAGATGTAACCCACTATTTAGGTTTAACCCTGCAGAGGGGTTAGGAAATATTACCCATAGAACCACAGAGTGCATGCATGCATGATTGAGGGACTTACTATTTTTGTGAAATAGATTCTGTACAGAAAACTAATTCTCACCCTTTTAAAGATTGCAGGCAAGGATGAACACATCTAAATGAGAAGTCAATTTTCTTCCTCAGAACACAGAGTTACTAGAACAAAATAACATTTTGAAATATAAATCATTGATTTTTTTATATTTGCTCCTTTGCCTTTTCCTCAATCAAATTAGTACATTAGAAAAGTTGCTAGGGGAGGTTTGCTAACAAAGAAAATTGGGAGATGGTGGTGGGGTTAGGGGTGGAAAGCTGGGGTGGGTGGTGGTTTTTCAGTTACAGAAGTCAAAGCATTTGGGTTTGGGGACCCAGGGATATAAACAATGGGCCTGAGAGAATGTCTGCTGACATAAGAGCCAGTCCTCCAGCTCAGGTTTTATAAGATCTGTAGGAAATAAAGATGACCTGGGTTGGGGCAGAGGGATGAGAGGAAAGCAAGGAGGGAGATGGGGAGGAAGCAAGAGAGCCTGGGAGCTAGCAAGGCCCTGAGGAGCCCCAGATTCCTTTGCCGGCTTCCCTTCCTCAGGCTGAGTGCTGAAATAGGTGTACAAGGTAGAAATCCTTCTTAAATTTGGAAGGATATGAGGGTTGAAGCGTTTGTACCTCAGTTCCCAGGTGGAGTGGAAGGTGGAAAGCTTTGTTGAGTTCTGCAGCATAGCAGAGCATAATAATAGAATGTGCCATTTGCATTATTTAAATAGATGTCTCTGACACAGAATTTCCGAGCTGAATGTTTCTTATGTGCTCAAAAAAAGTGAAAATAACTAAGTGTAAAGTGAAACCAGAAGGGTCTTTTAGACAGGATGTGGTAGTAACTATGTGGAAGCTTTAAAGGAAGACTTCTCGGCATAGATGCCTGCATGCATAGATGGTGAAAATTGAGGACAAGATGCACCCACAGTACCTGGCTTCCTCACAGCCCATCACCATCACCTGCAATATAGGGACAACAGGAAGGATGAGGCAGTAAGAATAGAAGCACACATTTATGTAGGGACCAGGCATGTAGTTTACATATTCTGTGTAGTTTACGTATATTAACACACTTAATTCTCACAACCACCCTATGATGTAAATACCACTATAGTACTCACTTTATGGATGAGAAAACAGGCATGCAGAGGTTAAGAATAAAAATTCTGAATTAATTTAGAGTAAGTGGAACTAATTGACAACAATTTTATGATACCTTCTAGACTAGAGAACTCAAAGAAAAAAATTTAAGCACACATATTTATTTATTCATAATACATATGATTTTATTGCATACCTAAATTTTCACACAGACATGTGAACCCACTAAAGATATCTATTGGGAATTATGAGGTGATATATAAACCAGCTAATAAAGACTGAAAATAACAGCATAATTGGCATGAAAACACAGAAAAAGTCAGAGTAACTCAAGCAGTCCAAAAGAACAGGCAAAGCTTCAAAATCCGAACTTTTCAGCGTAGTCTCTCAACTTTCCCTTATTCTTCCACTCATCAGCTAACTCCTGACTTCAGTTTTCTCTCTTCACTGGCTTTGCCTGAGACTAAAGTCTGCTTTTATCAACACCTTAAATTATCACACAACATTCCGGTTTAGACCAAGTTTCTTGTCTTCTTTGTTTAGTTCTTCCTTTAACAGCAGTGGGGCCCAGGGGAGGGTAAAAATAAGGCTCACATACCATTAAACATATGTCTTATCTCCCTACCTTGCCAAATACACTTTCCTAATGAAAAAATCCAAAGACATGGGTAACAAACACTATGGTTTCATAAGGCTGAAAACTAGCAAGATATCAAAGACAAATGAATTTAGTTATTATTGCACATGTCTGGTTGTACTGTTGATGCATGATTAATGTATAAATCAGTAATAAAGACAAGTTTAATTTTTGATCTATTATTTATTACATAAAATGTGTTTTTCTTGCTTTCATTTTAGCAAAATGATTATTTCATAATAATTATTAATATTTTCACCTATTTTAAGATCTACTGGTAGCAATTATTCTAAAAGATGAAAAGACAATATGTAATCATATTCAGTGCATGCAAAGCTTGAATACTATTTCATCAAAAAAGCAAATTAAAATTAATGTAAACTAATTCAAAAATTAAAATTATTTTTTACATTTTCAAAAAATTATCTCATGAAATATTCAACATTAGTTATTAAAATTATAAAACATAAAAATTTAAAATTGAATATTTAAGGTTTTTATTTAATTTTTAAAAATTTACATAAATCTTATTGTGTATGTTAATACAATTCAAACTACTCATAATTCCCGTGTTCAATTTTCAGCTAGTTGAGCTGGTATCACAATTCATGTTATGTCTAGAAGTAACATAAATAACTTAATTCTATAAAATGTCCCTCAGCCACCAGGTGCAACTGTTGTGAATGTCATCATGATTTGTGGTTAATACTGGAACCATAAACTGCAACATGAAATGAAGCAAGAAACAGTATGCTTGGTATTACGGGAAATGATCTTTTATAATACAAGAATCTACTGCCTTCTTCTTGTCTGTGAGAAATCATTTGACAAGTTAATTTGTCTTTTATCTTAGCTAAATGATTCCCCTGCTCAAATCTTCCCTCCACTCAAAGCATTATTTGTTTTGCAGACTGGCAAGGAAACTGCCCACAAACATTTGTGGCATTTAAATACAGCTGCCTTCTCTTTCAAGGATATAGGATACTGGAAAGGATATATATGAAGTGATTCCCTGGATCTTGGGTGGTGTCAGTCATGAGAGTAGATATTTAGGGTTATAAGTCACGTTATTCCATTTTGGAGCATCGGACCTTAAGAAACAAAGACACTTCTTTTTCCTAATATGGAAATATTCACACATAAAAACAGAGAGAGAGACTATTAATCATCACTTAATTTTCACTATTATCATTATGGTCATGTGTTCTTTAATAAATGTAGGCAGCATCATAAAATGTTTTCAAAATTCAGAAAAATAAGCTGTTTACCTTTTTGTTGATTTGCTGTTTTGATAAGTGCAGATCTCCAATCCTTCTCCTTCAGTTGCATTCCACCAGGTTTAAGGGAGGAGACCACCCCTCATATTGTCTTATACCCAATTTTTGCCTCCAAAGAAAGAAGTAAAAACTAAAAGGCAGAAATGAAATCCACAAGCAGACAACCCAGTGCCACACCCTGGGCCTGGTAGTTAAAGATCAACCCCTGACCTAATTGGTTATGTTATCTATAGATTACAGACATTGTATAGAAAAGCACTGTGAAAATCCCTGTCCTATTCTGTTCCGTTCTAATTACCGGTGCACGCAGCCCCCAGTCATGTACCCCCTGCTTGCTCAATCAATCACGACCCTCTCAAGCGACCCCCTTAGAGTTGTGAGCCCTTAAAAGGGACAGGAATTGCTCACTCAGGGAGCTCAGCTCTTGAGACAGGAGTCTTGCTGATGCTCCCGGTGGAATAAACCACTTCCTTCTTTAACTCAGTGTCTGAGGGGTTTTGTCTGCGGCTTGTCCTGCTACATTTCTTGGTTCCCTGACCAGGAAACGTGGTGATTAACGGACAGTGGAGGCAGCCCCTTAGGCGGCTTAGGCCTGCCCTGTGGAGCATCCCTGCAGGGGACTCTGGCCAGCTTGAGCGACGTGGATCCTGAGAGCGCTCCCGGGTAGGCAATTGCCCCAGTGGAATGCCTCGCCAGAGCAGCACATGGCAGGCCCCCGTGGAGGATCAACACAGTGGCTGAACACCGGGAAGGAACTGGCACTTGGAGTCCGGACATCTGAAACTTGGTAAGACTAGTCTTTGGAACTTGCCCACTCCATTTGAGTGGAAGCATGGCCTGATCACCCACAGCATGCCTGTACTGGCACTTTGGTTTTTGTTTTTGACTTGACTTGAATTGCTTGATACTTTGGTTTTGGTTTTGACCTGGCTTGGATTTCTTGATACTCTGATTTTGGTTTTGATTCTGGTTTGGTGTAAACTGTAAAAGTGTGTGTGTGCCCTTTTTACCCGTTCTTCATTTTGTGGTGTGCGTGTGGTGTGAGTGTGGTGTTTTGTCTCGAGGAAATATGGGTCAGGCACAAAGTAAGCCCACCCCACTAGGAACTATATTGAAAAATTTCAAAAAGGGATTTAAGGGAGACTATAGAGGCATCATGATACCAGGAAAACTTAGAACTTTGTGTGAGATAGACTGGCCATAGAGGTGGGTTGGCCATCAGAAGAAAGCCTGGACAGGTCCCTTGTCTCGAAAGTACGGCACAGGGTAACCTGTAAGCCAGGACACCCAGATCACTTCCCATATATAGATTCTTGGTTACAGCTAGTTTTGGACCCCCCACAGTGGTTAAGAGGACAGGCAGCAGCAGTACTAGCAGCAAAGGAACAGTTCGTTAAGGAAGGTTCTCGCTCCACCCGCAGAGGGAAGTCGGCACCAAAAGTCTGTCCGACCCAACACCAGAAGAATCATGGCAGGAATTGGTACCAGCAGTACCCCCTCCTTATGGAGAGGAAGGGCTCCCCAAGCCCTGAGCCCACAGCACCTCCACCTCCACCAGATAACCACACCCCTAGACCGCCCAGAGTAGACAAAAGAGGAAGTGAAGCCGCAGGAGAAACTCCTCCCTTGGCAGCTCGCTTACTGCCCAAGACTGGAATCCAAATGCCCCTGAGACAGCAGCGATATACTGGGGTAGATGAGGACGGACACATGGTGGAAAGGTGTGCCTTTGTGTATCAACCTTTCACCTCTGCTGACCTCCTCAATTGGAAAAATAATACTCCATCTTACACTGAAAAGCCTCAAGCTTTAATTGACTTGCTCCAAACTATTATACAGACTCATAATCCTACTTGGGCTGATGGCCTCAGCTGCTCATGTACCTCTTTAATACAGATGAAAGGTGAAGGGTGCTCCAGGCAGCAACTAAGTGGCTAGAAGAGCACGTCCCAGCCGATTACCAAAACCCCCAAGAATATATAAGAATTCAGCTGCCAGGAACAGACCCCCAACGGGACCCGAATGAGGGACCAGACGTGGAGAGGCTAAGATGGTACCGTGAGACATTAATAGAAGGTCTAAAGAAAGGGTCTCAAAAGGCTACAAATGTAAATAAGGTCTCTGAGGTCATCCAAGGAAAAGAGGAGAGTCCGGCACAATTCTATGAAAGACTGTGTGAGGCTTACCGTATGTACACTCCTTTTGATCCAGATAGCCCTGAAGATCAGCGCATGATTAACATGGCCTTAGTTAGTCAAAGCGTGAAAGATATCAGGAGAAAATTGCAGAAACAAGGCTGAGTTTGCAGGTGTGAATACCTCACAGTTACTGGAAACAGCCAATCAAGTGTTTGTGAATAGAGATGCAACAAGCCGCAGAGAAAGCCGTAAGGAAGGTGAACGCCAGGCTAGGCGAAACGCCAACTTACTGGCCACGGCCATTAGGGGAATTCCTCTGAAAGGAGAGGGAAAGGGGGGGTTCCGGGAAGAATACCCAGTCTAATCCCCCACGCTTGCAACATAACCAATGCACCTACTATAAGGAAATAAGACATTGGAAAGATAAGTGTCCCCAGCTGAAGGAAAAGCAAGGTGATTCAGAACAAAAGACCTCAGATAAAGATGAGGGAGCTTTGTTCAATCTGGCTGAAGGGCTACTGGACTGAAGGGGACCGGGCTCAAGCACCACCAAGGAGCCCATGGTCAGGATTACAATTAGGGGCAAGGACATTAAATTTTTGGTCGATACTGGTGCTGAACATTCAGTAGTGACAACCCTGGTCGCCCCCTTATCCAAGAAAACCATTGATATAATCAGAGCAACAGGAGTTTCCACTAAGCAGGCTTTCTGTCTACCACGGACCTGCTTGGTGTGGGGACATAAGATAGTTCACCAGTTCTTGTACATGCCTGACTGTCCTTTGCTATTGCTGGGAAGAGTCCTGCTTAGCAAGCTGAGAGCCACCATCTGCTTTACAAAACAGGGCTCTTTACAGCTAAAGTTACCGGGAACAGGAGTTATCAAGGCCCTTACGGTCCCCCGGGAAGAAGAATGGAGACTTTTTCTAACCAAGCCAGGCCAAGAGATAAAATCAGCTCTAGCTAAGCAATGGCCCCGAGTATGGGCAGAGGATAATCCTCCAGGACTGGTGGTCAACCAAGCCCCCATACTCATAGAAGTTAAGCCTGGGGCACAACCAATTAGACAAAAGCAGTATCCAGTTCCCAGAGAAGCTCTTAAAGGAATCCAGGTTCATCTCAGGCACTTCAAAGCCTATGGAATTATAGTTCTTTGCTAGTCTCCATGGCACACCCCCCTCCTGCCTGTGCCTAAGCCAGGGACCAAGGACTACCAGCCAGTACAGGACTTATGCTTGGTCAACCAAGCTACAGTGACTCTGCACCCAACAGTTCCTAACCCTTACACATTATTAGGGCTGCTGCTAGCTGAGGACAGCTGGTTTACCTGTCTGGACTTAAAATATGCCTTCTTTTGCATCAGACTAGCTCCTGAGAGCCAGAAGCTGTTTGCCTTTCAGTGGGAAGATCCGGAGTCACGTGTCACTACTCAGTACACTTGGACCCGGCTTCCCCAAAGGTTCAAGAACTCCCCTACTATCTTTGGGGAGGCCCTGGCTCGAGACCTGCAAAAGCTTCCTGCTAAAGACTTAGGCTGCATCTTGCTCCTGTACGTGGACAACCTTCTGCTGGGACACTCCACAGCAGTCAGGTGTGCTAAAGGGACGGATGCCCTGCTTTGGCACCTGGAGGACTGTGGGTATAAGGTGTCCAAGAAGAAAGCTCAGATCTGCTGACAGCACAGGCACGATCCCACTACTGATCAGCACGGGAGTTTTGACCTGCTCAATTTCCGACCTGGGCCGGTCCACCCCTCCTTAGGCAACCTGCTGTTCCCCCGCTTCCGGGAGGTCACCATATTGATGCTGAACTTAGTGCAGACACCCAATTGGCATAGCGCACTACAGCTGATTCAGAAGCTCGAAAAGCAGCATCTACCTCTTACCGGGCATCAGTAGCAGCCCCCTTACTCCCTCAAACACCTGACCTGGTACCTACCTATTCTAAGGAAGAAAAAGACTTCTTCCACACAGAAGAGGGGCAAGTAATAAAAGGAGGATGGATCAGACTGCCAGGTGGAAGAGTAGCTGTGCTGCAGTTGCTAGGAGCCATAATCATATTGGCCATGCACAAAACCACTCATCTAGGACAAGAGTCACTTGAAAAATTGTTAGGCCGGTACTTCTACATCTCACTCTTGCCAGCCCTTGCCAAAGCAGTAGCACAACAGTGCATTACTTGCCGACAGCACAATAAGAGGCAAGGCCCCACTGTTCCACCTGGCATACAAGCTTATGGAGCGGCTCCTTTTGAGGATCTTCAGGTGGATTTCACAGAAATGCTGAAATGTGGAGGTAACAAGTATTTGCTGGTTCTTGTGTGTACTTACTCTGGGTGGGTAGAGGCTTATCCAACACGAACTGAAAAGGCCTACGAGGTAACCCGTGTGCTTCTCCGAGATCTTATTCCTAGGTTTGGACTGCCCTTATGAATCGGCTCAGATAACAGGCCAGCATTTGTGGCTGACTTGGTACAGAAGACAGCAAAGGCATTAGGAATCACTTGGAAGCTACATGCCGCCTACCGACCTCAGAGTTCCAGAAAGGTGGAGCGAATGAATCAGACTATCAAAAATAGTTTAAGGAAAGTATGTCATGAAACAGGATTAAAGCGGATACAGGCCCTTCCTATGGTATTGTTTAAAATTAGATGCACTCCTTCTAAGAAAATAGAATACTCCCCTTATGAAATGCTGTATCATAGGCCTCCTCCAATACTACAGGAGCTTCCAGGCACTCCCCAAGAGTTAGGTAAAATTGAATTACAGCGACAGCTACAGGCTTTAGGAAAAATTACACAAACAATCTCAACTTGGGTAAATGAGAGGTGTCCCATCAGCTTATTCTCCCCAGTTCACCCTTACTCTCCAGGTGATGGCGTGTGGATCAAGGACTGGAACGTAGCCCCTTTGCGGCCACGGTGGAAAGGACCTCAGACCGTCATCCTGACCACCCCCACGGCTGTAAAGGTAGAAGGAATCCCAGCCTGGATCCACCACAGCCGTGTGAAACCTTTCAGCCACTGAAACCTGGGAGGCAAAACAGAGCCTGGACAACCCCTGCAAAGTGACTCTGAGGAGGACGACAAGCCCTGCTCCAGTCACACCCGGAAGCTGACTGGTCCACGCACAGCCGAAGCATGAGGAGAATCATCATGAGACTCATTTTCCTTATAATTTGGACTTGTATAGTAAAAACTTCCACTGATTTTCCCTGCATGGAGACTGCTCTCAGTGTATACATCAGGTTACCGAGGTAGGGCAGCAAGTTAAAACAGTCTTTCTGTTCTATAGTTACTATGAATGCCTAGGAACTTTAAAAGGAACATATTTATATAATGACACTCAGTACAAGGTATGTAGCCAGGAAACGACCAACCAGATGTGTGTTATGACCCCTCTGAGCCTCCCATGTCCACAGTTTTTGAAATAAGATTAATGACTGAAGACTGGTGAGGACTCATAAATGATACAAGTATTAGCCAGAACAGAAGAAAAAGGGATTCCCAAATGCATAATCTTGAAATTTGATGCCTGTACTGTCATTAATAGCAATAAGTTAGGAAGGGGATGTGGCTCTTTAGTTAGGAAAAAGGCTATATGACCGAAAATAAGTACATTTGTCATGAATTAGGACTGTGTGGAAATGTATGTGGATACTGGTCTTGTGTCATTTGGGCTACTTGGATAAAAAATGAAAAGGATCCAGTCCACCTTCAGAAAGGAAAAAATGGCCCTTCCTACACTAAGGGACAATGTAACCCCTTAGAGCTAGTAATAACCAATCCCCTTCATCCTCGTTGGAAAAAAGGGGAGTGTGTGACCTTAGGAATCGACGGGGCTGGACTGGATCCTCCAGTAAATATCTTGGTTTGAGGAGAAGTTTACAAACGCTTTCCTGAGCCAGTGTTTCAAACTTTCTATGATGAACTAAATGTGCCAGTACCAGAAACTCCAGGAAAAACAAGAAATTTGTTTTTGCAATTAGCCGAGCATGTGGCCCAGTCTCTCAATGTCACTTCATGTTTTGCATGTGGAGGAACTGTAATGGGAAATCAATGGCCATGGGAAGCCCCAGAATTAATACCTACAGACACAATTCCTGATGAATTCCCAGCTCAAAAGAATCACCCTGATAATTTCTGGGTCCTAAAAGCCTCAATTATTGGACAATATTGCATAGCTAGAGAAGGAAAAGAATTCACTCACCCCGTAGGACGACTTAGTTGTCTGGGACAGAAACTGTATAATGGTACCACAAAAATAGTCACTTGGTGGAGTTCAAATCACACAGAGAGGAATCCATTTAGCATATTCCCAAAGTTGCAAACAATGTGGACCCACCCAGAGTCCCACCAGGACTGGACAGCCCCACTGGATTATACTGGATATGTGGGCATAGAGCTTATGCCAAATTACCTGACCAGTGGGCAGGTAGTTGTGTTATTGGCACTATTAAACCATCTTTCTTCCTACTGCCCATAAAAACAGGCAAACTCCTGGGCTTCCCTGTCTATGCTTCCCGCAAAAAGAGAAGCATAGCTATAGGAAATTGGAAAGATGATGAATGGCCCCCTGAGAGAATCATACAATATTATGGCATGCTACTTGGGCACAAGACGGCTCATGGAGATACCAGACCCCCATTTACATGATCAACCAAATCATACGGTTACAAGCTGTCTTAGAAATAATCACTAATAAAACCGGCAGAGCCTTGACTATTCTAGCCCAGCAAGAAACTCAGATGAGAAATGCTACCTATCAAAATAGATTGGCTCTTGACTACTTGCTAGCAGCTGAAGGAGGGGTCTGTAGAAAATTTAACCTTACTAATTGCTGTCTACACATAGATGATCAAGGGCAAGTAATTGAAGACATAGTTAGAGATATGACAAAACTGGCACATGTGCCTGTGCAAGTGTGGCATGGATTTGATCCTGGGGCCATGTTTGGAAAATGGTTCCCAGGGCTAGGAGGATTTAAAACTCTTATAATAGGAGTTATAATAGTAATAGGAACCTGCTTACTGCTCCCTTGCTTGCTACCTGTACTTCTTCAAATGATAAAAAGCTTCATCGCTACCTTAGTTAACCAAAATGCTTCAGCATAGGTGTACTATATGAATCACTATTGATCTGTCTTGCGAGAAGACATGCGTAGTGAGAATGAAAGTGAGAACTCCCACTATTGAGTGAGATTCTCAAAGCAGGGGAAATAAGGAAGGAGACCACCCCTCATATTGTCCTATGCCCAATTTCTGCCTCCAAAGAAAGAAGTAAAAACTAAAAGGCAGAAATGAAATCCACAAGCAGACAACCCAGCACCACACCCTGGGCCTGGTAGTTAAAGATGGACCCCTGACCTAATCGGTTATCTGTAATTACAGACATCATATAGAAAAGCACTGTGAAAATCCCTATCCTATTCTGTTCCATTCTAATTACTGGTGCATGCAGCACCCCCCAGTCACGTACCCCCTGCTTGCTCAATCAATCACGACAATCTCAAGAGGACCTGCTTAGAGTTGTGAGCCCTTAAAAGGGACAGGAATTGCTCACTCAGGGAGCTCGGCCCTTGAGACAGGAGTCTTGCTGATGCTCCCGGCTGAATATACCGCTTCCTTCTTTAACTCGGTGTCTGAGGGGTTTTTGTCTGGGGCTTATCCTGCTGCAGGTTCAGATGGGGCCAATTCTCCATTCCTTGCCACAGTGGGGAGAACAACTCTCAGTCATGGCAAATCAATGTGTCTTCTTTCCACAGCTAGATGTTTCAGTGGCAGGAGCACGTCTCAAGTCAGAAAGACCAAATTATCCCAAAAATTATTTGCTGGGACTGTTGGGGGGCAACAGTCTCCTTCCCCTGTGGGATGGAATGTTGAAGCTAGGAGTAAGAAGTCTGGGGTTACAGGTGGCCATCTTGCCTACCACATACCTGGTTCTAATGTGACAAATCAAGCCAAGCAAAGACAAGCTGAACAAAAGAAAAGAGTATGAACCCTGTCGACAAAGCCAAAGCCTGAGCTCCCGGAAATAGCCACAGATAAGGCCACACAGACACTGAGAGATAAGAAATATAGGCAGAGCACAACAGCATTATTGAAGCCCCTAAATTCCCTTTTTCTGAGGTTGGCTACACCTCTGTACTTAGTTACATGAGTCAATAAGTCCTCTCTTTTTGCTTAAATTCAATTGACTATCTTCTTCTTGCAGTAAAAAAAAAGCTCTGATGAATACTTTAAGGTCATTTATAATAGATGATTAAGTATGGAGATATATATATATATATATAAAACAGGCACTATCTAGATATGGCAAGTGGGATGGAGGAAGATGGAAAAGGAGCTTTGCTTATATTTCTAGTGCTGATATGAGTGATACTATAGTATGGTATACTATAGTATAGTACAGAGTGAAACAAAGGTGTGTTGGTCTAGTGTCCCTACATAATAGAGTTTTAAGTTGTCATTGGAGTGTTGAAAGTAAAAGTACATAGGATGTGAATGACATTGCATGACACTAAGAATAAAGTCATCATCAGTACTTCCATCTCTGCTGCCTGCACTTCCTTACTGGTTCACACCACATGGGTTCTGTGGAGCAAATCTGAAATCTTGGATTTGCAGGACAAACTGCACTATTTCAATTATTTTGTTTTGAGAGATGGGTATTTTTAAAAATTGCATCAAGAATATTAAGGCAATTAACAATGTTTATGAAAAATAATAGAAATATGGAGTACTTGGGAAAATCTATTTTATTTTTTTGAACCACTTTATTGAGGTATGATCTATATATAAAAAGCTGTCCATATTTAATGTATGCTACTGGAGGAATTAGAAGATAAGTATACACTGTGAAACCAGCACCGCAATCTATACCATACATATACCCGTTCCCTCCAAAAGCTTCCTCCCACTCTTTTATTTATTGTTACTGTTTTGTGTGATAAGAGCACTTAACACAAAATCTGCCCTTTTAGCAAATTTTTAAGAAAAAATACCCAATTTAATTTAGCAATCTCTTAAGCATTAGCTCATATGTAAGAAATAGTAAAATAGGCCAGGTGTGGTGGCTCATGCCTGTTATCTCAGCATTTTGGGAGGCCCAGACTGGTGGATCACCTGCGGTCAGGAGTTCCATACCACCCTGGCCAACATGGCGAAACCCCGTCTCTACTAAAAATATATAATTTAGCTGGGTGTGGTGAGATGCACCTGTAGTCCCAGCTACTTTGGAGGCTGAGGCAGGAGAATCTCTTAAACATGGGAGGCGGAGGTTGCAGTGAGCCAAGATCGCACCACTGCACTCCAGCCTGGCGACAGAGCGAGACTCCATCTCAAAAAAAAAAAAAAAAAGTAAAATATAGTTAAGATTTCTCTGTTTTTATGTTTTGTTTTGAAATTTACTTGGCTACAAACAGCAAATTTTGAATAACAAATCATTAAATTTAAAAATCCTGATAATCATTTGCCTAAGAGACCATACCAACAATAAAGTTGAATTATTCCATTGCCAAACAGCCACAGAAAAATACCAATTTAATAAATTAAAGTGTTTTCTTACAATACATTGGAAATCAAGATTTAAATCCTTTCACTGTTTTAATAGAAATTAAGAACTATCATAAGGAAAAGGTTTCACATATGACAAGTTTCATATTACGATAGCCAGTTTTTTATTTTTATTTTTTATTTTTTATTTATTTATCTTTTTTTGAGAAAGAGTTTCACTCTTGTGCCCAGGTTGGAGTGAAATGGCGCAACATCGGCTGACTGCAACCTCTGCCTCCTTGGTTCAAGCAATTCTCCTGCTTCAGCCTCCCAAGTAGCTGGGATTACAGGTGCCTGCCACCACACCTAGCTAATTTTTTGTATTTTTAGTAGTGATGGGATTTCATCACCTTGGCCAGGCTGGTCTCAAACTCCTTACCTCAGGTGATCCATCCACCTCTGCCTTTCAAAGTTCTGGGATTACAGGCATGAGCCACTATGCCTGACCTATGATAGCCAGTTTAAAAACAAAAAAAACAAAAAAAAACTCTGTTATCCTCGCAGAAAATTAAAAACTTACTATCTAACTTAGCCTTTGTAAATCTTATATACTGGAAGTCTTTTATTCAGAATATATGTCAAAATATTCTACAAGGTGCTATATAATATATATAGAAAAATGATAGATGATATCTATATAAATATTACTTATATGAATATTTATTGTTACCTAACAGGTTTGTTTTGCTGTGCATAATTCATCAAATGGAAAAGATGTTTTCTTAGTTTAAAATATGTTTTATGCCTAATATCTCTGTATTTCTTAGAGATTAAGTAGCCTAACTATCAGTAGCTATAGATGTATTGTAAATATATTAAACAAACTATAAGAATCTTTCAAGAATCTTGTAATCTAAACTGGTGATAACTTCATAGTTCTATAATATCATAACACATAAAAAGTGAACAATATGGTTGAATCATTCAGTTATCTGACTAGTAGAAAATGTCAGTATATTTACAAATCAAGAAGTTTACTGAATTTAAGTATAAACTTGCAGATACTGAGTTTTTAAAAATATAAACTTGAAATTTTGGAGACCTGTGGGCATTACCAAAAGTTGTTTAAAAATTAATATACCTCCAGAGAATATATGTGAAATAAATTTCTTAACTTCCATATATAGAATCTCATTTTCAAACTTTTAAAGTTAGATACAGAATTTACTCTACAATAGTAATAAAACATCTCCTTTGCCAGACATTGATGAGTTTTAATTGTTTAGTGTTTTTTTGTTGTTGCTGTTTTGCTTATACATACACAAATTCTTATAGAATAAGGTATTGAGTCAAAACAGCTTAAACATTGACAGCCGGCTGGGTGGCTCACGCCTGTAATCCCAGCACTTTGGGAGGCCAAAGCGGGCAGATCACGAGGTCAAGAGATTCATACCATCCTGGCCAACATGGTGGAACCCCGTCTGTACTAAAAATACAAAAAATTAGCTGGGGGTGGTGGCGCACACCTGTAGTCCTAGCTACCTGGGAGGCTGAGGCAGGAGAATTGCTTGAACCTGAGAGGCAGAGGTTGCAGTGAGCCGCGATTGCACCACTGCACTCTAGCCTGGCAACAGAGCAAGACTCCGTCTAAAAAAAAAAAAAACAGTTGACAGCCTTGGCTAAGGGAAAATATAAGAACATTTAATTCATTGTGCTTCCCAAACTGTGATTGCTAGGTCCATTTTTCTGTTTTTAAAAACTATTTGAAGCATGTTAAAGACAGCTTAATATTTCATCAATACATTTTCCAGATCCTTATTAAAATATCTGTACCATTTTACATTTCCACTTGCTTGAATGACGATAATTCATTAAAATCAGTCTCTTAATATATGGTAGGCACTGTGTTAAGCACATAACAGTCATCTCATTTAAATCTTCATTCATCACACTATGAGATAGGTGCTATTGCTATTTCCAATTTTTAGTAGGAAAATGGAGACTTGCCCTAGGCCCCACAACCTATAAAAGTTGAACAGCAATGCCAGTCAGTTTTGTCTGTCTCCAGAGTTCATCTTCTTAACCACTGCACTGTTGGTTCATTTTGGCTAATGCAATAGTTTAAAAAACAAAACAGAAACAACTTGTATATTTTTTTAAACACATGTTTTTTTTATTATTTTTTTAAACACATGTTTTTTCTCCTTTGTGAACTTCTTTCTGGAATTTTATTTTAAAATTAGAATACTAATACTTTTCTTATTGTTTTATTTGTATTCACTTATATTATCTATGTAATTATAAATATGTTCCCAAGTTTTATCTTTTCTTAATTTTTATATAAGGAATTTTTAAATAGAAAAATCTATAGACTTTTTTCAGAACAGAATTTTTAAAAATCTCTGGGCCAATTTTTTCATATATTTGAGGAGAGTTAGGGACATACACTCAGCTAATTGCTAATCTCTGAGTATAGCCTGAGAGGCAGTAGGTAAGATATATACTATACTAACATTGTAATATCAAATTTTTATTGGAACTTCTGCAATTATTTGTTTTATGATAATCAGTATTCTTGAATTAAATTTTTTTGCTTATTTGTGAGATTTACTTAGAATTAAGATATGTAGCTGTCTTCCTCACTAAAACATAAGATCTAGAAGAAAGAATATATACATACATAAATTATGTCTAAATGTTGTGAAATATGCAGAGATATGGTACATATTATAACTGACCGTTTTTTCCCCAGTATTTTTTTTAAAACCAGGAAAACACATAAATACAACCAAAATAAAAACCCATCAAGATTTTATTGGCTTTCTCTGCCTCATTCCAGTTTTGGAAACAATCTTGACCTAGATCCAGACAGATGGCCGAGGGTTGAATGTCATGTTTGCTTTGCTGCTGGTCCTGTTATGAACTGAGATTTTATTTTTTTCTATAATAAATGAAAGTGACAAGTCAATACCAATACAAGGATGAGTAAATGTTTGACAAAATGAATTCCAAGGATACAATTCAAACATTTGTCAGGAGCCCGAGATAATTTCTTATTTGTTTTGTTATGCCTTTCCAATTTGTCTCTAAATAAAAATATTTACAATTTAGGATTCACTCTATCTCACAGGATAGGATATGTATGACCTTACAAATTTATAGAAAACTTCTCTATGTTAATGTGAAGAAAAAAATAAGATGAAATAACCATGGTCTATTTCCAACCAACAGCAAACGTTCTCAAACTCTTAACTCCTGCTTTTGTTTAGGAAAAGGATAGTATGAGTCATTATGAAAAACAATCCCTCCCACACCTGTTTTCCCTACCCCTGTCACAATTCTCTAAGTGCACATGTATGCGCATGTGTACACAGACACACACACACACATATGCATGCCTGCCTGCACGCACACGCTGAGAATTCAGCCCAATAAATAGAGGAGGGACAGCTTTATAGAGATGGGCTTATTTAAGACAATGTATATAAATATTTTCTGCAAAATTCACTAAACTATAGGAAAGACAAATTCAAATGGGAGCAGTAAAGCATTTTTTAATGCTTTTTGTTCTTTATAATTATTAGATTAAAAGGAAAACAGTGATAATAAGATCCATAGGGGCTGTACGCTAATGGAGGATAAAGAACTGCTTTGTAACGTGAAACTTTGCCTCCACACTATATGACTTTAAGTGCACCAGGCTCTTTATATGGAAAACTGGTTTTCAACAGATACCAGGCAAACTGTAAAGATGATCTCACATTGCCAAATGGGCCTTCAGCTGCTTTTCTAATTGACTTTTCCACGGTTTGTTGCTTAGTGTTACACATACTAATGTGTCATCCTAGACTAATCAGATTTTCAAGTCTCAACCTGCCTGTGTTTGTAGGTTTCAAACTTACAATTCCTCTGCTATTACCCTCCAAAATTGTTGAAACTGACTACTTCTGTTGTTAGAAGCATGATATAGAAAGCATGGTGCTCATAACTACTATGACTGACACGTAAGTTTCCCAGTTGATACAATAAAGCCAAGAGACCCTAAGTCCAGTGTGTTTCTCAACGATTATTCAGTACAGGGAGAAACACTCCTAGTTGTTTCCTAGGCAACGATTTAGTGAAAAATGTGCAGTTATATTTCATTTCATCCCATTTTCTATTTTTCTAGAACTGGCTATTTTTTCCCCTTATTTTCCAATATCCATTTCTCCTCACATTTCTCTTTATACATTATCTTTGATATTTCTTCTCCTCTAGCCTTTCTCTCCTGTTCTTTCCTGCTATTAATTATCTAACTTTCTTTCCCTTAGGAATGAGATCAAAACAAATACTTGTCTTTAAAGTTGCCCTGTCAACTACCATCTGGTTACTGTTTTGTTTCTTTTTAGAAAATCAACAGTAGACCCTTCGTGAATGAGGAAATTCTATTCACTTTTGCTTCCAGGGCATGATTGTGTCCCAGCTTATTAAGAAGCAGAAGTCTTAGTGCTTTGGAATCTAGTTTACACATCTGTCTGCTTTCCTGGAAGGCTGAAGGAATTTGAAATGCTGTTTTTTAAACAATACCAAAAACAAACAAAGAGAAAGGGCCAGAGAAATTTTCATCTGGGAAGAGATTGCTTTTGTCAGTAGATGGCCAGCAGAGTAAGTCAGATATGCAAGAAACACATCAAGTGTTCTGGGAGGGGAGTATTTGAATGCTAAGCAGTCGTTTGTGTGGATCCAGGCTTCTTACAGCTTCCAGGTCTTGGTTTCTGATGTGGAGATCTTTTTGACAGAGTTGGCTAGTTTTTGTTAGTTGCCACTCGATCCCGTTTATTGGCTAAGAATAAAATAGAAAATAATTTATTTTATATAACTTAAGAAAAATACCAAGGTTTGATAGCACTCATCCCGTTCGTTTACCACACACACACACACACACACACACACACACGCACAGCCTTTTAAGATTCCCTGTTGCCTGCAAGATAAAGGCCAGGTGCTTTAGCCTGACGTTCCTGGATCTCTAGAATCTACTGTGAGCCTCATTTCCAACCCTGTTTTTCTTGTCTCCCACCACTTTCTCTCTGCGCCTCAGTGCCAACCACCCCAGCCTGCTTCTCTCAAAATACCCATGTGCACTTCTGCCGTCTCTCAGCTTCTCCTCATGTGAAGTACTCTCCCTTTTCCTGCCCATCTCTCTGTCCCGTCTTTCTGGACCCAAGTCCATCTTCCCTCTGTCACCACACCTGTAAGTGGTCCTCACTCAGGTCCCCGCTTGGCATGGCTCACGCTCATCATGTGTTTGCACGCACCATGTCCCCCGTCATCGTTGTATATACCTGTACTCAGACAGGCAGCAGAAAGACAGCTACTGGTGGGTTCCTTTCCTCTCCTTTCTCTCTGGCCGTCATTGCCAGAAGAACTCAAATATGGAAACTCCAGAAGCATATAAGAATAGGGACTCTTTGGTGTGAGACGAAACAGGAAGATTATTTCAAGGGGCAAAAATCTTGAGAGAAGGAGAACACCTTATGGTTCCCAGCCAGTCAGATAGGATGACTCATTACCCAGGATAACATGGTATAACACATATGTAACATAGACATGTGGCAGTATGGGGCTGCCTATTTCCATACCTTGGAGAAGCAATGAGGGGGAGTGAGGACAGCTTCAGGAAGGCATTCATCAAAGTAATTGAGTAAATGAACACAGCATTACTTTCTATAGGGATTCTAATCATTTCTTCAATTAATATTGAGAAATGATATAACTCAGTTTTTGAATGTGCAATTGTAGATACTGTATGCATAATACAGCCTGTTTTCTTTCAGCTTGAAAACTAAACACAGAAAACATAGAAAACAAATTAAAAAAGGAAATATTAATTTAGTTGCAAGTTAAAATACATATATTATTACTGATAATCCATTTTATTGTCTCAAAATTTCTCTTAAAATGAGTCCAAAATTCAGGGACTATCAGAATTAGCTAGAATTTAGAGGGCTTTTCAATAAATTCATTTTGCATATAAGAAAACTGAAGTTCCAAGAAATAAAGGAACACTTGTATTGAAAAGAACCTGTGAATGGAAGAGAACCACTCTTTCTTTTTCTTTTGGATTTTCTGTCATTCTTAGTGACACAATTATCCAGCCACCAGACCTCATTTTCTGCTAATAGGTAAAGTAACTAATAAGGTATCTCCTTGGGTCTACACATTCCCCCTCCTAGCCAACCGCCTAAACATCCGTTGCTATAGGGAAGCAGATGTTTCATCAGAAGAGTGAAATGATTCATTTCGTTAATTACCAGTAGGTGACAAGCACCTGGGGAGGAGACCCAAGCCCTTCTTGACTGTGGTGTTAAAAGGGAAAACTTAGGAAGATGGTGCCCCTGGAGAGCCGGCTGGTGCTAGGGAGCAGGAGGTGTCTGTGAAGTTGCCTCAGAACTTTGTTGCTAAAGCAGCGCTCTTTCAAAGTGTAGAGCTCAGTGCAGAGGAAGTGTATCCTGTTCTTCCTCTATACTTAGTGTCTTTTTTTTTAATCCCAACTATGACAAGAGGCACCAGGAACCAAAATTATCCGTAGGCTTAGACCAAAGCCTTCGGAGGCTGTGCAGCATGGATCTACCCAAGTAAGAAGAACCCCAGGGAAAAAAGAAGGTGGTGGGGATCAGAGCTCAATTCTGCACCTGCTGAGTGCCCTTCAAACAGACTTTAAGAGGCAGTCTTGTCTTTAAGCACACCCTCAACGTTAATTATCATCTTAACCTTTTAACTAATCTGTGCTTCAGTTTCCTCAGCTGTGAAAGGAGACCAAGAATAAATCCTGTGTCGTGAGGTTGTTGTGAAAATTAAAAGTTAATGTGAATAAAGCACTTACAACAGTATCACTGTGTGTTTGCTCTCATTTGGGGAGATGATGTAGATTAGTGATTAAAAGCATGGATTCTGGAACAAACTTGCTTTGGTTTGAAGCTTGGCTTTAACATTTACTCATGTGAGCTTGGACAGTACGTCTCTGGGCCTATTTTCTCATATGTTGGCCTATTGTGAGAATTAAATAATCTCATAAAGCACTGAGAACAGTTTTAATACATACTAAGGGTTAGTTATATACTATCTGTTCCTTCCCCTTGTTAACTACCCACATGTGGGCCTGTCACTGAATGTACATCTTCTTGTAGAGCGAAAGCACTCCAGAGATTTCAGAAGCTGTGCTCAGAATCTCTCACCCCAATAGAACCTCACCAAGACTACCTGGCCAGCGTCCCCTTTGTGCATTCAACTTTCCCACATAACACACAGTGGGATTTGTGGAAAACGTTCTCCCTATTTTCCTTCCTGCTCTTGGAAAAACAGGAATAATCATCTTGTTAACCCCAATTCCTCCACTTAGGAGACACCAATCTTTCTTCTAATTGGAAGGGGAACTATTAAGCAATAAGATGATATTTTGAATTAAATCAAGAACAAAACCACATATTCACATAGCATTTACACATTTACTTGAGTTCAAACTGCCAGGGGCTCTTCCAAGTCTAAAAGTCACAATTGAAAACAGTGCTTTAAACTTGAAAGACATCAGAGGTCTATTTTGAATTGAAGCTTGTAGAGAACTCAGGATTATTTGTAATTTGATTTTAATGAATAAAACATTTGTGTATTGCTATTTTAAATTTTTTTTTAAAAAGATCCAGATGACCCTGTTACACAGAAAAAGGAACTCTTTGTTACACATCAGAAAAAGTGATAGACTTTATATTCTTTTTATTTATTTATTTTTAGCTTTTATTTCATTATACTTTCAGTTCTGGGATACATGTGCAGAACGTGAAGGTTTGTTACATAGGTATACATGTGCCATGATGGTTTGCTGCACCCATCAACCCATCATCTAGGCTTTAAGTCCCGCATGCATTAGGTATTTGTCCTAAAGCTATTCCTCCCCTTGCTCCCCATATATTCTTAAGAAGTGTATTTTTTTATTTTTATAGATTTAGGGCTTATGTATCATCTTGTTACATGAATATATTGCCTAGTGGTGAAGTCTGGGCTTTCAGTGTAGCCATCGCCTGAATAGTGTACATTGTACCCAATAGGTAATTTCTCATCTCACTCCCACCCGCTTCCAAGTCTCCAATGTCTACAATTCCACTTTCTATGTCTGTATGTATGCATTATTTAGTACCCACTTATGAGTGAGAACATGTTGTAACTAAGTAAAATAACCCAGAAACTTTCTGATGGCCTCCAGTTCCATTCATGTTGCTGCAAAAGATATGATTTTATTCTTTTTAGGGCTAAGTAGTATTCCGTTGTATTGTACCACATTTGCTTTATTCAGTCATCTGTTGATAGACACAGGTTGATTCTGCATTTTTGCTAATATGAATAGTGTTATGATAAATATACTGGTGTAGGTATCTTTTTAACATAATGATTTATTTTTCCTTTGGGAGAAGTATATTTTTAAGCTATATTAGAACACCTTCTTTTGGTACCTAAGAACATAGGGTATCCTAAAAAATTGGTAGCCACAGAATAGCACACTGTTATAATATTTTTCTTGTGTCTCTTGAAAAAATTGTGTTGGAAATACTATAGTTTTGGTTGCTGTTTTGTTTTTGCAGTAATCCTGACCAACATATGTAGCAGAATTGGTGAAACAAACTGGAAACCTCAGGCATGCCTCGATTAAATTTTTTGTAGAGCCAGTGGGAGCAGAGCACCACCTAGTGTCAGTTTTGAATAATTCTCTCAAATAAGAAAAACTGCCCAGGGTGAAAATAATGTACCCAAAGGCACGTAGTCAATATAGGTTAAATTTAGGTCAAAATCCTGGAACCAAATCCGCATTTATTGACGACAGCCCCATGCTTTTTCTCCTATTATTCTCCACAATTTTACATCAAAGAAAGGCAATATGTAAAAAACAAATCCCTTCCACTAATGGAAATTCAATTTAGGTGACAAATACGTTATAAAACAGGACTATTTGAATATCTGGTATGCCTAAAGCACTATGAGAGCTCAATTCCACAGACTCTAAGGTGAGACTTTTTTTTTTTTTCTTCAGATTTCTGGCTTTCTTATGGTTCCCTGAGGTCTCTGTAGCGACCCATCTGGCACTTCGGATGCTTCTCTGCCATCAACATTGCCAAAAATAATTCAGCCTCTGAAATTTATCACTGAGGAACAAATGAGATGATTTCACTTACCTATGTGGCCCTTCTCTAAAAATGTTCATAGTTAGTTCATGCCAGATGCAGTTTGTGTCTCAGAATGTCCATGTGCCCTCTTCACAACCATGGTTAGCCCCAAGCTGAATGTGAGCCGAGCCAAGGATGGGGAGCCTTTCTTCTCTGCCTCTCTTCCAGCTACTACTTCCCACCCCAAAGAATCCCAGTCTTCTCACCAACTCTGCACTCCTTCAGGGCTCTACAAGTTAATGGAAAATTAAATGACAACAATACCAACAGCTTGCCATATAAAATCATTTCTGGAATGAGGTAAAATATGAGTTAATGAAAGAATAAAGCCAAATAAATAAATAAAATTGCTGTTTTGAGATATCAGTGCTCATTTTGGCTCATATGTTATTCTTCTTATACAACTTTTAAATTTCCCTAAGAATTTTGAGTAAATTCAGACAAATCTAATATGCTCATGAATGAGCTGGTTTGGGGAAGAGGGGACTTTTGGTACAAGAGAGGCTGTGCACATCCAAACTCTGAGAGCCCTGTCCTAAGTCACTGTTGCACTTCCTTGTGTGAACTCTCAAAGATACTCTCTGAATCCATTTTCTTCATCTGTAAAAATGAGAAACATTAACAACTATTTTATATGATTTTTTATGAAGATTCAAAAGGATCTACTATGTGCTAAGTAATCACCAGTCACAAGAAATTTGGCTATGATGATGATTTTTTTTTTTTTGAGACGGAGTCTTGCTCTGTTGCCCCAGCTGGAGTGCAGTGGCATGATCTCAGCTCACTGCAACCTCTGCCTCCTGGGTTCATGCCATTCTTCTGCCTCAGCCTCCCAAGTAGCTGGGACTGCAGGCACCCGCCACCATGCCTAGCTATTTTTTTGTATTTTTAGTAGAGACAGGGTTTCACCATGTTAGCCAGGATGATCTCGATCTCCTGACCTCATGAACCGCCTGCCTCGGCCTCCCAAAGTGCTGGGATTACAGGCATGAGCCACTGCGCCCGGCCTATGATGATGACTTCTGTTGATGTGTGCCCACTGAGAAATCCATTCTAGGATTTTAACAAGTAACAACAACATTGCCCCAGCCCTTTGTTTGAGCCAACGCTTCCAGTTTTTAACTGGCTGCAGATTTTTAATGTTCTGAGAGTTGTCATCAGTAACACTAAAAAAAAAAAAGGGACTCAGTCTGATTAATCAGTCCTGTTTTTAGCCACGGAGGTGTTGCTAGCGGAAAGAAAAGAGCAGAAGAATAGAAGGAAATCTATACTGGCAAATAACATAGGAAAAAATCAACAGATCTAGAACATTCAACTTAAAGTCTTTATCATCCTTTATGTTCTGGCAAATAATAATAATATGAGTTTTTGCTAGTATGCCAGGCACTGCCCTTATCAATGACTAATATTCACTCACTTAATCCTCATAATAATTTATCATTTTACATGTTGAATAAATGGAAGCACAAGGAATAAAATGAACAAAATCATAAGAGCAAATGGCAGAGCTGTACTTTGAACTTGAGGGGCCAGGCTCCACAGACAGGGTAACAGATTAGTGAGCTTTGGTTATATCCTTTTTTTATTTTACTTTTTAATTAACAAATAATAATTATACATATTCATGGGGTACATAGTGATGTTTTGATACATACAATTTAGAGTGGTCAGATCATGGTATTTGCATATTCATCATCTCAAGCATTTGTCATTTCTTTGTGTTGAGAATGCTCAACATCCTCCTTCTAGCTATTTTATTTTAATTTGTTTTTGTTTTCTGAGACAGAGTCTTGCTCTATTGCCCAGGCTGGAGTGCAGTGGCACAATCTCGGCCCACTGCAAACTCTGTCTCCTGGGTTCAAGTGATTCTCCTGCCTCAGCCTCCCGAGTAGCTGGGACAATGCCACCACATCAAGCTAATTTTTATTTTTCTACACCCAGCTAATTTTTGTATTTTTAGTAGAGACGGGGTTTCACCATGTTGGCCAGGCTGGTCTTGAATTATTGACTTCAAGTGATCCACCCACCTTGCTCTCCCAAAGTGCTGGATTACAGGTGTGAGCCACTGCACAGGGCCCCTTCTAGCTATTTTAAATTATATGTTATTACTAAGTATAGTCATTCTACAGTGGCATAGAACACCAGAATTTTCATTTTCCTCTGGCTCCTCTCTATCCCCCTGTCCCTTGCCAAACATCTGCCCAAGTTGTCAAGCCACCTGAGGAAAACTAGTGGTTTATTTTCTAAGTAGGGCACCTCCCCTTATACTCACTAACGTTTTAAGAAAGTTCAAATCTTTTCTACCCAGAACACAAAATATCTCTGGGTACATGACACAGAATAGATTCTTTTTGTTCTTTCTCCTTTATACAGAGTTAAGTTTTCAGACAGCTGCTTTATAGCTTTATTGTCACCTTTTAGCCTGATTATCTGACAGTGTTAATTTAGACTTCATAGCTATTGACTAAAGCAAGTGCCTTGTACAAAGACAATGGCAAAATGGGCAAGGAGACTTTCTTTAATAAGTCCCAAATAAATAGCTTTGGTAAAAGTGTCTACTTGCTATGACAAAATACCATAGGTTCCTCAAAATAGCTTGATTTTTTAAAAAGTTGGTAGGCAAATTCAGCGTTGTCTTTAAACTGCTACTGACCTCTCATTCTCCTTTGTCTGGACTCCTCAGGGAAAATAAACCATTTTCGTTAGCACATATTCTCAGTGAACAAGCCTGATACCTTGGGTAATACAAAATAATGGAACGTTTGTGTGTGCATTGTAGTGAATAATTGATTTAGAATATATATCATTCAGAATATATGTAACTGTTAGCAATAATGAGGAGGGACATGGCTTTACTTTTGGTCTTCTAAATGAGAAAAATATTGTAGAAAACTATGATCCAAGAACGATGTTACTTTATTTCTTCTACATTTTCATGGAACAAATTACTCATTTAAATACTGACTCAAGATTCTATTTTTTTGCAGTAACTGTCATAAAACACTAGTGAGCAGACTCATTGTTAAATGGTAATACTCATGGCCTGTCAGTCACCCATTAGCATGATTGAATTAGCATTCATGTGGTAATTACCATGAATTGTCTATTTCTACCATCCTGTTTTCTCCCAGCACCAAGCATTGGGGATATCACAGAGATTTTGTGAAGTCACAGAGAAAGGCAGAAGACAGACAAATAAACAAATTGAGCTTCCTACCACCTCCACTACCACAGTATTGGCAAGAGCATCTTGAATAAATATGACAACGATGATGATGATAGCTAATATTTATTGAATAATTATTCTTTGCCAGGCATTATTCAATTGTTTTGCATATACTATCTCATTTACTGCCTCCACCCACCCTATAAAGTATGCGCTATTATTAAAACCATTCCACAGAGGATAAAACTGAGACTTAGAGACATGATGTAAGTTGCCCAGGATCACGCAACTACTGAGTAGCAGAGCTAGAATTCAAACCCAGATAATCTGAATTTAAAATCCATATGCTTAACAGTTTAACTCTACTCCAGAGTGTCTCAACCTCAGCATTGTTGACACACATGACCGGGTAATCCTTGCTGTCAGGGCTGCCCTGTGGAATGGTAAGATGCTTAGCAGCTTAGCGGTATCCCCAGCCTCTGCCCACTACATTACAGTAGCACCTTTTCTCCCTTGCTTTCCACCTCCAGTTGTGGCAGCCAAAAAGTCTCCAGACATTGTCAAATGCCCTCTAGGGGGCAAAATTTCTTCCCCATCCATGCTGAAAACCACTGTTCCACTCTAACCCCTCTTTATCTGATTATAAAACCTCATGTCATTAAATAACTTTTAGAAATATAATTTTAATGGCTGTGATAAATGTTATTGAATATTAAATTAGTGCTACACTTAAAATATTACTTTTGATTATTTAATAAAGAAAAAATTATATTTGAAAACTTAAAGCAATCAGGTTCTTTGAGATCTACCCCTTTGGTGTATATAAGATATAAAGGTAAGCTCTGTCAATTAAATAATAAGCCAGAGGTGATTTATATTGCAAAGACTGTTAACTTCATTCTATAAAATGTGTCACCATTTTTTACTCAGCCTACTTCTGAAGATAAAATGAAGGAGACTTGTGTCAGTAAGAAATCTCTTTAATAGTGAAAGAGTTTATTTGGTTACTGTATACAGACATAGCCTAAGTCAACAATCAAATAAAACATAACTGCATGCATATATTTCTGAAAATGAAAATAAATTAATTACTGACATTTTTAAAACTTCAGAATTCTATTATTTTTCTAAAATATCTAATAAATCAAAATTTACTAACACTTTGGTTTTATTTTTGCTCCTTTTAAAATATATGCTTAGATATATATTTAAAGGATGTATTTTACTATTTCTACCAATATCATTGACTAAATGCTTAAGTGCCTACTGCTATGTTAGCTACTTTAAAAAAATATAAAAATTAAGGTCTGCATTGCTGAGGAAGTTATTTAAAAACAAGTCAGACATACACAAAAGCCCTAAGAATAAGAAAAGAGAGTGTAAAACAACTAGTATTTTGTATAATTCATATTAAAGTAAAACACACACACATACACAGACCAAAGTTAGGGAAGATAGTAAAATTCATTTAATAGGCATGTTCCATATAACCATTTTGTTACAAATTTTGCATTTTCCACATGAAAAAAATCACAGTAGGCACATACTAGAAGCAAAATATGTCAGACAAAAATATCCTAAAGATGTTTCTGTTATCAAACTTTTACAATTTTTCCAAGACGTTTTTGAGGTTTGGGAAAAAGTCTGGGGCATTTTTGGCAAAAAACAAACACACTCTATCCATGTGAGTTTTGACTATTGTTCTTTCTCACCAAAAATGTCCATAATTTTCTACAAATTCCATGAAGTTTTAAATCAATCATGTTTGATTTACATTTACCAAGAATGATTTGCCCATCACCATAAAAATTGAATTAAAAATACATCAGGCTAAATAAATCCAAAAGAGAACAGTGAATTTTGTTGGGTTTACAGACAGTGGTATGCATTTCTGTGATCATGTATTATTCTTAACCTTTTCCTTCAGTGCGATTTGGAAGTAACCTGCCTTTTAATAGCTTACCTTGGACATCATCATTGCAATCAAAGTGAGTAGCATCACAACACAATTATCTAATATACACATGCTGCTTAGGGCTGCAATGTTACCACAGTTACCACCAGATTAAATGTCTCAAGAAAACAGAACCACTAAGTCTTTCAACATGCAGAAATTCAGCACTCTTGATAGATTATGAGCCTTCATTTTTCTTCATTTTGAGGCTTTTCCAATTGGTCTTGTGTTGTTTTTTCATCTTTCTCTTTTGCATCTGAAAAAAAAATTTCCATTCATATGTGGAATATATTGAAATTTATTTTGTATTATGTTAGAATAAAACCATTGGTTTTTCCTTTGTCCACCGTCCATATTTTGCCCTCAATTCAGATATGGAAACTATACAAAGAAGAGCGATATGAGTAGGTTTGGGAATCTACCTTCTCCTGATCAACTTTCTCCTATTCTACAGAGTTATGAAGTGCCAGACAGTCTTCTAGGGTATTCTCAGAGCCTCCATTTACAGATTACTAAAATGAAACACAAGCAGGTAAAGTGACTTGTCCAAAGTCAGAGACTAGTGAGTGACAGTCACAACTTGAGCTTGGGCCAACTGACTCCGTGGTGTATGTCCTTAGCCAATTCCCTATGCAGGATTGCACTCTCCCCAGCTTCTTCACACTTTCTACTCCCTTTGCTCTTTCTTAGGAGACAACCTCACTTTCTACTTCATAGGAAAAAAAAATAATCAAAGTTATCAGACAGGAGTTCCCTCAACTTCCTGCCATTAAATATCTAAAACTCCCCGTGATCTGTGCTTATTCTTTCTGCCTTCCCTCTTTTTACAATGGAAGATGCACTTGTGAGCACTGGCTATGTAATTTGTTGGTGCCCAGTGCAAAATGAAAATGCAGTACGCTTGTTCAAAAATAATGAAAAATTTCAAGACAGCAAGAATAGAACATTAAACCAAATGCAAGTCTCTTCTAATCAAGGAGCCCTATGCAACCACCCTGGTTGCACAATTTTGGAGCTGGCTCCTGGTGTTACTCCTGCTATGCAGTCTAATACCTTCATGATCCCCCATCCTATCCATTTTTGCTTCATCAAGAGGCTGACTCTAATAATCATCTGCGCTCTTCATTTTACCTGACTTTCCCTTTCTCCTGGCTCCTTCGTTCCCACAAGTCACTACTGTCTTTAAACTAACAAAGACCCTCTTTCAACTGTAAGTCTTCCACATACTATCTTCTCTTTCATCCTTTAAAAGGTATCCCTCTTTTGTTGTCTCCGTTTTTAAGTGAAACTATTTAGGTCTACTACTCCTGCAAAACTGCTCCTACCAAGTCATCAATGGTATCTTTGAAATCTGATGGACTCTATTCAGTTCTTCAACTCTCATTCATCAAATATTTATTAAGCATGTACTACGTACAAGGCAATGAACAAAACATGAATCCCGGCTCTCAAGGAAAATCTGATGAGAAATATGGACAATAAACAAAATAAATGAAATGTGTGGTCAATAAGAAGTAAAAAGGGCTAATGAAGACATTAAAACAGGAGTGGAAAATAGAAATTTTCAAGAAGTCTTGTGGCCTGAAGGATGCAATTCTAGACAGAGTTAGCTGGGAATGCCTCACTGAGAAGGGGACATTTGAGTAAAGGCCTGAAAAGGTGAAGAAGAATTCTATATAGATAGTGGGGAGAAGAGCATTCCAAGCACAGAGAAAAACAAAGCCAAAGACAATAATATGCAGGAAGGATTTGCAAGCGGGACAGTGGTAGAGAAAATTGGAATAGAAAATGGAGTCATAGAGGTACCAAAAAAACTAGATCCTGTGAGTGAAAAATGGCAGATTTATGGACCAATTTTGAAAGTAGAGCTGACAGTATTCACTGATAGATGGGATGGAGAATACGAGAAAAAGAGGGGAGAAAAGGATGATTCCAATATTTTTGGCAATAATTTTGTTAACTGGAAGTATGAATTGCCACTCAGAGATGGGAAAATGCAGAAAGAGCTGTTGTCAGGAGACTATCTGGAGTTCGCTTTTATACCCATTAAGTTTGAGATTCCCATTAGATATCCAAGCGGAGACGCCAATTAGGCAATTAGTATATGAGTGTGCAGTTCAGGAGAGCTCCAGGTTGGAGACAAAAATTTGTAAGTCATCAAAAGCACAATCATTATCCCAACGAAATCAGATTACATCACAAGTGAGGGAGTGTTGATAGAGATGATGTCCAAAGACTGAATTCTGATAACCTCCAATTTATTTAGAGTTAGGGGAGATGAGGAAAGAAAAGCTGAAGGAGGAGCAGCCAGGGAAGCAGGAAGAAAACCAGATGAGTGGAGTGTCCGGAAAGCCAAGGGAAGAGAAACGTTACAGGAAAGAGTGACAATCATCTGTGACTAAGAGATCGTGCAAGAGGATGGCTAAGAATGAACCACTGGTGTTAGCAGAAATGATGTCATTTGTGATCTTGAAATAGCAGTGGGGTGATGTGGTGAGGTGAAAATCTTATTAGGGTGAGAGAAAGAATGGTACGCAGAAGATTTGGAGCCACAGAAGCAGATAACTCTGTCAAGGAGTTTTGTTACAAAACAGAAATGGAGAACTAGGACAGTAGCTGGAGGAGAATTGGGATCAAGGGAGAATTTGCACCCTAACAATCATAATTGGTTGCCTTCTAATTAACATGGCAGGTGCTTAATAAGTGTTTATTGAAAGAAATCCCTTAGAAAAATAAGCTTGGTAGAAAATGGTACTCTATAACCATATGAAATACAAAACACTAAATTATTTGCACAGTAATTGAAGCTGCACTTGCCACCACTGATTCTAAGCAAGCTACACACAAAGCTTTATAGCTTTCAGAGAAGAGTTGTTATATCTGCTATCTCTAAGTTGGTCTAATGAGCAGAAGATGATATGAAGTCCCCTTAAGTTGTTATCTTTCTGTGAAATGAACTAGGAACTCAAGATAATAATTAGATGAAAACTAACAGGATATCATTTATTGTCAATCTAGTATCTTGCTCAGGATTATTAACTAAAATATAAAACATGATTCCAAATACCTCTTATAGTCTCATTTTTTGCTTTGTAATGTGAAAGTGTTTAGAAATACATTCAAAGATGATTGCAGATAAAAAGAAACAATAATCTGCTCAAGAGGTTATGATTGCTGTCAACTTTGTATTGTGATGTTAATGAAAGGAAAACATTTTGTATTGTGATGTTAATGAAAGGAAAATGATTTTTCATATATTATGTGCTTCCTAGTTAACATTGCTGTTATTCTTCAACCTTCTGCATATGTCAAGTGCTTTCAATGTAATCGAATATATTTTCAATATATTCTTCCAACATAATTTCTCTGAGAGTGCAACATCAAACTTCCCTTTCAAGCCTGTTACTGTCATTTCAAATGTGAATAAGCTATTTTGAACTGTTACTTATCTCACTTTTTTGATCATAATAAGAACTCTTGGGAAAGCAAGAAAATGTTGAGTTCTAGATTATCTGGCTTGGTTCTTCTGTTCTCTAGAAGCCTAGCTTGGAAAAACATTTCTCATATATATATATATATATGTAGTAACATGTTACTTTATATAAATATTATGTTGAGATCCTTATTATATATCTTTTAGGTAACATACCACTTTAACTGTTTACTAAATTAGGCTTTTCATTAATATACGTTTAATATAAATCAGATATAATAGTCTATTTTTTTACATTTCCTATTTCCATCCTTGTGTTCTGCTCTTCTTTGTATCAACTGCCTTTTCTACTCCTTGTCACATTTTTAGAGTGCCTCCCAGAACAATAATTCTGCAAGATGCTTCTTCAGAGATGGCCAAATAAATGAGAGAAAAAAATGTTGTATGTTCTATTTTTAGAAGGGTGTAGACACACTATTACTTTAAAGTCTCTGTAACAAAGGCTCTGAGAAGTCCTTGTCTAAAAAGGAAACATTCCGAGAAGTGTAAAAAGCCAATTATGTTGAAACCAGCAATTCCAAACTCATTTGACTACAGCACCCTTTTTTTCTGGGTGACACATTAACACCCAAAATAATTTCTATGAAACATTTATAGAGAAAAATTGGTATAATGGGAAAGATGAAGGCTTTGGAACCAGACATTCTATTATCACTTAATTTTTGTGAGCTTGGGCAAGTCACTTAACCTGTTTGGGGTTAGTTATGGTAACATCTATATATCAAAAGAGTGGAGGACTTCTAAGGCTCCGTCTTTCCTTCTCATATTCTGTGGTTCCATTTGTACTGAAAAGGTAATCTACTCATGTGGCTTGTCAGGTATGGGATAATTTCATTTGCACTGTTTTCTCCTCAATCATATAAAATATGTTTTGAAAATATACACTCAAGGCCAGGCGCAGTGGCTCATGCCTGTAACCCCAGCACTTTGGGAGGCCAAGGCAGGCGGATCACCTGAAGTCAGGAGTTTGAGACCAGCCTGCCCAACGTGGTGAAACCCCGTTTCTACTAAAAATACAAATATTAGCAGCGTGTGGTGGTGGGCACCTGTAATCCCAGCTACTCAGGAGGCTGAGACAGGAGAATCGCTTGAAACCGGGAGGCAGAGGTTGAAGCGAACCAAGATGACGCCATTGCACTCCATCCTGGGAGACAAGAGTGAAACTCCGTCTCAAAAAAAAAAAATACACTCAAATATTCAAAAATGTATATCTCAGAAACTTTTTCCGTCTGATCCACCAGACCTATATATCAAATCGCTTCATTGACTTGTCCATTTAGATGTCTCGTAGGCATCCTGAAGACAAAAATTTTCACTCCTCCAACTCTTAAAATTGCCCATCCTCTAGGCTAACCCTTCTCGGTGTATGGCATCAGCACCTGCCTGACTGCTCTAGGAGTTATCCTCCAATTCTCTTCCTCATCTCTGCCACATCCAATTCATCAGCAAGTCCTATTGATTCTGCCTATAAAACATATCCCAAATCCACTGATCTTTCTCCATCCCAGGATGCCACCCTCTGTCACCTCCTGTTCATATGTCATCAAATATCATTGACCTTTTTATCATGGTTATCAATTTATAAGGGATAGATTAAGACAGATTATGAACTGGGCAAATCTCAGGTTAATTTCATGCAGCATGCAAAACACTTGAAATCCTAGATTTCCTGCCACTTAGGCATATTTATTAAAAAAATTAAAAATAAAAACAAAGGATAGATCTGAGGGAAATCTGCAGATCTTCCTCACCTCAAAATTTGTATGTTTAAGTGAATAAATTATTGAAACCATAACATCTGAGACAGACTCCCGCTTTCAGTTTTCATTAGCAACTGGAAACCATTCATTTTAAAATTCATAATAACATCTATGCTTAGCTAATGAGAAAAAAATAAGCCTTCAAACTGCTTACTTGTGACTTTGTTAATAAAATATTATCTATGTCATCTACCTATGTAAGCCTATATCCTTCTGTGTATTTTTTCTACTCTTTAATTTTTCATTGACAAATAAAAATTATATATATTTATGTTGTTGTGCAACATGATGTTTTGATACATGCATACATTGTGGAGTGGCTAAATCAAGCTAATTAACATATCCATTACCTCACATACTTTGTGTGTGTGTGTGTGTGTGTGTGTGTGTGTGTGTGTGTGTGTGTGTGTGTGTATGTGTGGTGGGAACACTCACAATCTACTCACTTGGCAATCTTCAAGTATACAATACATTGTTATTAACTATAGTCATCATGTTGCTACAATAGATCCCCTGAACTTACTTCTCCTGTCTAATTGTAATTTTATCTCTTTTGACCATCATTTTCCTAATTTTCCTGGTAGCTACCATTCTACTCTCTGATTCTAGCAGTTTGTCTCTTTCAGATTCCATGAATAAGATCATGTGGTATTTACCTTTCTGTGCCTGGCATATTTCACTTTACAACTTGCCTTCACCCTTTTGTGTAATCTTTAGCATCTGGTGTTATTTGTAAATTCATCTTTAACATTTTCAGTTTCTTAATTGATGCCTTTGACTTTATTTCAAAATGATATGAAGAAAAATATAAAAACAGGAACATATTCTTTCAGATCCTAGTCTCTCTAGTGACCAAAATAAAATGGAGAACACTGCTGACTCTCCCACAGTGTATTTGCTCTCTTTTGCTTGATTAAGTAATGTCAGTAAACATTAAGGTTTTGTGTGTGTTGAAGGTGTATAAAATTTAATTACGGTTTTTACACGAACAAGTAATTGCCTTCTCTACCTCACTAGTTTAGAATGGACTCTTGAACAGCAACGACATCTTCCTATGGTCATATTACATTTTCAAACTTAAAAGGCCAAAAACATTACATATATGTTTATTTCTTTCTTCCCTTATCTTTTCCTTCTTTTCATTCTTCTTATAATATTTTACGTTGATGTGTATGCTTTTTTACTCTCACCTATAGTGTTGCATATGAGAAATAGTGGCCTTTGGAAAAAGATGAGGTAATCATGGAACTGCAGGATCTGGTCACAGCTCCTGGCCTACAAGGATATAACTATTTCATAGAGAATGAACCAGGAACATTTGCAACTTTACCAGGTAGTAAATAACCTCCTGAAGCAAAGAACCAAGAGCCTTCTTCTTGGGCTCCCGGGAATGGGTTAGATGCAAGCGGCTTCTGGTTCTCACTTGCTTCATTGTCACCAAGAATAAATTCCCAAACATACACTAGAGTCCACCTGAGAGTCTAAAATGGGGCACAAAACGTGAGTATTTTGCTAATGGCTTGGAACTAAAATGATCTTTAATCTCTCTGAGTGTATTTTTTAACTTTGATTCAGGGTTTTGTTTTGTTTTTTTAAATCTCCATGAGGGTTTTTAAATGAAAGGCACCTTTTAACACTTTATTTAAAGTATCCTTATACTTTCATATAAAGTATCACCTTTTATACAAAAATTCTGTTGAAAGAATCTCATCTCTACTTGATAGTAAACTTCTTCCTAGATTTGAAAATTAAAGGGCTTGTAGCACACTACAGTGAAGCAGAAGCTTCCAAAGTGATTTGTCAATGGATGGCAGAAGAAAAATTATTTTATTTATGAATACTTCTTAATAAACTTGAAAGCTCATTGAGAGAAAGATCATATTTGTTCACCTTTGTATTCCCAATTACTAGCTTTGTGCATGACTATACACATGCAATGAATAAATAAAACTTCAGTTTCCACATACACAGCATAAGAAAAAAGATGAAATATTCTACTTTGGAAAAGGCTGAACATCTACTAAGCCTTAAACAAAAGCTGAGAGGTTTAAGTAAACAAATAAGGAAACTGAGCACTTTTAACTAGATAAAAGAAAGACTGTCCAGAGAAAAGGCTTGGTTAAGAAGGGACAAGTGCTGTTAATTGTAAGAGGATTTTGAGTATTACCTTCCTTCACGGAGAGAGCCTCCAGTTTGAGGGGCAAATCTGAGGTTCCGTCTGTGGCAGCTGAACTCTGGATGTCTGGTAAGGCATTCCGGCGGCCTGCCCTTGCTGAAGATGCAAAATTGGCGACCCCAGACTCCACGTCAGTCATTTTTGATGAATCTGTCCTCATAGCAACATCTACAAATAGAATGTGCATATGAAGAAGATGAGCCTATTCAGAAGTAAATGTTCACCACAGTGGTTGAAAGGCATGGCTAGATCAAAAACACAACAGGCTTGAGAGTCTAATCATTGATCACAACCTTCATCAATGTCTACTGTTACGGTCCTGCAGCATCCATTTGCACATTTGCTGAATAGAGCAGGAAGCCCTCAGTGTGAGCCAGATTGCTAAAAATAACCCCTGAGCCGAATGAGCCACTTGGATGCTTAAGGGTGCAGTAATCCCTTGCCTTTTGTTCTGCTTTTCTGTGGATGGATCAGCCAAACTAGGGCTTGGAAGGAAATGAAAACTGACTTTTTTGACCACTCCTGTAGAGACTCTTTCTGCCAGTATTTGCTTGTGGTGATTGTTCAGGCTGAAACCAAATAACTATAATTTGTAGAGACCAAACAAAACACTCTTTTCCTACTTCTTAGAAATAAGAAATTCCACTTTATCTCAAAAGCTTTTTCCCTAGAGAGCACTAAATATTTTGATCTGTTCTGGTCTGAGACCTAATTTTCGATAGACTCATGGTAATGGTTGAAGAGTAGGACCTATTTTAGGTTTTTTTACCTTCAGGTTGACATGGTAATTACTAGTTCTTTCCTAAGCACCCTTTATCTCCCTAGCAATTGTCTCTCTCTAAGAAAGAATTCTCAAGAGATCATTCACTATAAAGGGAGGAAGGTAACAGTTATTGCTTACTCTAAAACTGACCTTTTTATTATGTTTTGGAATGAATCTCTCCTGAGAAGTCAACTCTGAATAGCATCTCGAAAGCAGAAGCATTGTATTGAAAAGCTATGTAATGCTAGCCTCTCAGCTAGGCCTGAGAGTACAGACGTATGGTATACTTTCCATCTTTAGGGAACTTGCACTCTCAAAAGGGAGAGAAAATATATGCCTGCAGAGATAGACACCCTAACACAGAATGCACTAAGTATTGACCGAAGGATGGAGATGCTCATTTGTGATACCTAAAAAGGGCAGAAATATGTAAACCTTGGGCTACACAGAACAAATCCAACTTTTCATGGTAGTTGGAGGGAGTAACTTCAATTCAGGAAATGCTAAACACTAAATGGCATAGTCACAAAACATGGTGCATTTGACATTAGAAACAATATTTTTGGTTCATAGAATGCAAGAAATGCAAATTGAGCTTAGCATGGTCCTTAGGAGTCCAGGAATAGTTTGGAATTGCCCAAAAAAGAGTCATTCTATTAATTCCATAGATATTATTGTCTTTCCAGGAATCATGGGAAATTTGAGAACAGAGCTATGTTTTGAGATACAATTTTGGAATCCATTAGACTTTTAACTGCTTGGTATTTGGCAACTGTGGAGAATGTATAGATATCTTAGAGTACTGTAAAGAGCACTAGACTATTGGTCAAAAAGAATGTGCTCCATTATAGACTTGGAAGGTGATATTGTTCAATCCATTTAATTTCTCTGAGTCACAGTTCCTCCCCTATATAACGGGCATAGCAATTAGCCTATGGATTCACAGGATGCTGGTGAAGCAATAATGAGATAAAGAATAAATGAACTCTTTGTAACTATAAGGTATATGTCTGATTGTTGGCATCATTGTTCATATCTCACTAAATGTTCTTTATTCTACCACCTTCTTGTGTATCCCATTTAATCCTAACAAAAAGTATTTTCCTATTGGGAAGACCTCTTGCATTTTCCAAGAGGAAAACCAGCATTTTTATTCAATACTACATGAACATTTTTATATTACATTAGTTAAACCTCCCAATAATCCCATGAGGTACTGAAGTATGACCCTTGCTTTGTGGATGTGGAAACTGGGGGGTCAGAGAGGTTAAGCGACTCATTTAAAGTTGCACAGCTGCTAAGTCAGCACTCAGGCATGCAAATCAATTTCAGTTCACTCTGAAAGCAACACGAAATGGATTATCACAAAATTATCTCTTCAAATCCCCATAATGCACATAGTTAGCCATCTAAAGCTACTTTAGATTCTGCCTTTATTATTTTTATATAGAGAAAACAGGGGGAAAAATATGTGTATATACATATATATATCTAAAAGTTTGTTAAAGTTCATATATATGTGTATGTATATATATATATATACATAAAATACCTGAGTGATGAAATAATCTCTCTCTCTCTTCATATATATATATACAACTGATGCACATAATTGGTTCCCTGTCTTTTCACAGTGTTCTTCTCTAGTTTGAATGTTTGGTTATCTTGTGAGCCCTCCCATGGTACATTAATTTCAGTTAGATCTCTTCTCAACAGCTTGTAAGAAGTGGCTAGTTTGGAAGTAGACCCCATTTTCTGGCCTCCACTCTGTCCTCCACCAATTCACTTCACATCAGAAACCACTATGGCTGCAAGTATCTCTTCCTGTGTAACTGCAAAGAAGTTAACTCTGCTGGTCTTAAAGGAACAGCTCCATGAATAAATGAATTCTTACTTGCCTGATAGTCTAAAACCTTACAATTAAATGTAATAATAGTTTTTAAAATGTTAAGATATGCGATCTTAAATATTTAAATAAATGCTATATATTTTATATAAAATAAAATAGGTAAACTTCTTCAGCAAGATGGGACATTTTAAATGAATATTGAGTTGAAATTTGTATGTTGAAAGAGAAATTCCTTTTTTTTTAAATATTTTTTTTTTTGGCTCAGCGTGGTGGCTCATGCCTGTAATCCCAGCACTTTGGGAGGCCAAGGTGAGCAGATCATGAGGCCAGAAGTTTGAGACCAGCCTGGCCAAGATGGTGAAACCCTGTCTCTACTAAAAAATAAAAAAAAATAGTCAGGTATGGTGGCTCACACCTGTGATCCCAGCTACTCAGGAGGCTAAGGCAGGAGAATCAATCGTTTGAACCCAGAGGCAGAGGCTGCAGTGAGCCGAGACTGCGCCACTGCACTCCAGCCTGGGTGATAGAGCAAGACGTGAAAGTTTGTTACGTAGGTAAACTTGTGTCATGGGGATTTGTTGTACAGATTATTTCATCACCCAGATATTAAGCCCAATACCCAATAGTTATCTTTTCTGCAGCTCTCCCACCTCCCACCCTCCACCCTCAAGTGAACCCCAATGTCTGTTGTTAAAAAAGAACTTCTAAAAAGTGGCCCTTGGAGTGGGCCGTCAGCATGGAAAAAGAAATTCTGGGTTTCACGTTTATTTCAAGATTATTTTGCTGCTAGCTGACTGCTATTTTGGAAGTTTTTCCTTTTGCCTTTATATTATTATTTCACATAGAGGCTTTCTAATTAGTCCTTTTTGTAGATCGATGCTGGAAAATAAAAGAATCACAAAACTATCTAAAAGTTTGTTAAAATTATATTCATTAACTACTATTTTAAGATCGAAAACAGAAGTGGCCATATAGGGAGGCTAAGTAACAAAACTGTTTTACTTCGGGGCTGTACTTGGCTGTGGCAAACTCACATTTGGCACAATCTTCCTTTCAGTCTGCCACTGATATTGACTGACCAAGATGTCATGCTTCACCAGAGGCAGACCGAATAGCTAACCCCGCCCAGCCTCACAGCGATGTAGGAAGATGGCACTTTCTACAGAGAAAAGCTATTTTCCTGACCAAATGTGTCAATGGCCTAGAAATTGGTGGCAGGAATATTTGAATCCACAAGGTGACTCTTAGCTGGGCTCTTTAAACTCCAAAGCAAAGAGATTTATTGTACCACTGGAGACAACCTGAAAGCCCAACAAGAAAAAAAGTATCTGAATAAGCTATGTAATTATGTTATGGAATGTTATACCACAGTGTTAAAGAATGTATTAGATCCACTGACACACTGTGAAATAAAGCAAGTTTAAAAATTAATATTTATAGGGGGAAAAGGGGAGAGCATTATGAATGCAATGTAACCTCAACTTTATACAAATAATAAAAATTCTAGTTGGGAACGGAAGGTAGAACAAGGAAAATATTAACCTTTTTCTCTACCTCTTTACATATTTTCACTTTTACTAATGAGCATATATATTACCTTTGTAATTTAAAAGAATTGAAAAATCCACCTGGAAAAATTATAAATAAACAGATATTCTAGCACAGAAAGGCTCTAAAAGTAACATTTTGAAAATTTAACCAAATGATAGCATATCGTTAAGTGAAAGCTTCTCCTTCCCCCAGTAGCCATCTCTCATTTGTCTGTTGTTAGTTTTCTATACAACACCGATTGCACATGCTTGGTTTTTTTAAAAGGGGCGATATACATATAGAAAACAGACAATTGCTCTCTTCAAATGGCTTGTGATAATTATAATATATAGCCCACAGAAAGATGAGGAAATACTGCAGAGAAAAATGACAGATTAACTTGAGGGTCTTTTCATTTTCTGGGCTTAAATAGCTAATTATGTTATGTTTGCCAACCAAGGCAGCTGACTCACTAGCAACTCTTCCTCTTTCTCTTCTAGAGAATTAACAAAGGACTCTAGATGAGTGCTGCTTTGTCAACTGTGGCTGCTTACAGGAGCTGGAACCATTTAGACATTTGGAGATTTCACAAAAGTCCTTGCAATCCCACAGCAAGGTAACGCAATTTACGTTGCCTGAGACACACTTCTATCTCTATTGAAAATATACAATTTTCAGGCTGCTTGAGAAAAGACTATTACACAGTCATATATATATTTATATATGTATATACACACATGCCAGCATCTTTACAGTCTCTGAAATATTGAGAATGCAACATCAGCACTACTCAAGAGGACGAGATGTTCAAGATAAATGGAGCACTAAAGGCTATTAAAAAATCACCAGTCAGAACCCAGTGGGCCCCGAAGAGCCTGCTAAGAAAAAGAGGATGTTAGTATGTTAGAAGCATAATTATAAACAAACAGAAGTTTTGCAAACTGTTTCCTCCCCACAACAGGTCCATTTTCTTAATTCAAACACATTATTTTCTCAAGCTTCCTTACTTGAAGCCAAGATTGCAAAATGGTAGATCCATTCTTTTCTCATCTCCAGATACATATCACTCACCCTATCTTCCACAGTGAAACCATTGCTCATTTTATACCTAAGACTTCAAATAAACTTCTTGCCCGCTAAATTAGTTCCCTGGAGGTATGAGTCAGACTTTCTGAAAAAACACAAAATAACAAAGAAGTAAAAACATGCATTTTGGAAAAAATGTCAGTGCTTTTCCTGACCAAAGACTAAGAGAGAAGGAGAGACTGACAAATGGACAGACTGACACTGGTCTCCCCTGATAACCAAATGCCTTATCTACCTCTCTCCAGCTCTCAGTATCCTAATCCCTTATGCTACATGTTTTCAGTTCTCTGCCTACGAATTATTTATTTCATATAATTTTCTGTTTTGAAACACACGAACCTCTTCCAAAAAAGGCGAAAGAACTAGAATTACTTCTTTATGTGCCAACAAAAACAGATCATTATTTATTCATTCAGTCATCTCTTGAGCTCCTACTAAATTATTAAGTGCAAAGCCTTGTTGCTGGCCCACAAGTTACAAAGAGGAACCCAGAGTCTGGTGAGATGAGACACAGTTTGATCTTTCTAGTTACCTTTCTTGACCTCAAATCCTATTATTTGGAAATAAAGTAAAATTACCCACTCCTAAAATGTAAATGCTTTACATATCTCCTATTCACTTAAGTATCAAGATCATTTTAAGCTAAACAGAACTTACATGAAATGTAGACCTGCGTAATTTTTTTCAACTTAGAAACTTTCCTGTCTTTGAAATTTTTCAAAAGATGGTATTTCTCTGTCTCTAGTGTAAGTCAAAGGGAACCCTACCTTTGGTTTGTTGACACGCACATTTTTTAATGTTTATGTTCTTGCTTGCTAATTGCATAGACAGATCCTTCAATATACATTGGTAGGCACATGGAAGTTATTTTTACCACAGAGAATTTTTGACAGCTTAAACATATAAAATTCAAAATGCAAAGTCAAATTAATTTTTTCATAATTTTCCAGATAAATTAATGCACAAAGCTGAATACCCTTCCAGCACAATGTTACTTCTTATACTAACATAAGGCCACTTACAATACTAATATACATGAATGTTGTTAATGATAAAAAAGATGGACTGCAATAAACTATGTAGCCTCCTTGAGTATGTGTCTGTGTTTGGGGGAGTCAGATTTAACTGGTCATCTTATTCTTTTTAGTTTCATACTAGAAAGACTTATTCAACATGTATCCTCCATAAAGGTTTGCAGGGAGTTAGTTGGGCTTCTCCCAACCACTTGCAGATTCCCAAAAGGACTAATAAATTTCTCACATGATTGCAGGATATTACATTTGAAAAGATGATATAGTCCAGACTTCCAGATCCAGACACTTAAGTGATGCATCAATATAACATAGCTTAATTTGTGTCAAAGTCTTTCCTAAGTTTAGGCGGTACTCTTTCTTCCATTACCATGATTCCTCCTGCTGCTTTCCGTAACAAAAAACAAAAACAAACCCAGCTATCTACAGGGATAAAAATAAAAAAGAAAATTCACTGTATATGAAAAAGTCTTTCTAAAAATTAAACAGGTTTCCTTTTTAATACATTAGCTTGAGTGGGGTGTGTGTGTCCCTGTGTGGTGTGTGTGTTTGTGTGTGTGTGCTATGTATATTGGGTGTTATCCAGAATACAGTGATATTTTCACTTCTCCTTTAGATGAATATAAGTGGTTATAACCATAGCAAAGCATCCCTACTGTCTACATTTTATATAGTTTAGCTTTTATTTCTAGCTTCAGAGTATTCAGAATTGAGAGGATTTAGCACGGATTTGAAGAAACCCTTCTCATTCTTTTTTTCCCACCTTACCTCAAACCCTATTTATACTCCTTCACTTTCATTTGTTTCACATTATTCTTTCTAACCAGTGACTCAAATATTGTTGGTTCTTATTTTATTGAGGTACTGGAGCCTGCTTAAAGAAGTTAGGGTTCAATTCAAAAAGCATTTATGTAACACCAACTCTGCAAAGCCCCACGCTAGATACTGTGGAATTTGGCACAGTAAGTAAGGTCTTCCCATGCCTTAACTGGCAGTCTGTGAAGGCTGCGTGCTAGCACCTTTACCACGTGAGCAGTGGAGGCAGCGCTTAATTCCAGGATAGAAAATGAGGCCAGGCTTCACAGGGAACACAGCATTTAATGGAACCCCAGAAAATAAGTAAGCAAATTTCAGAGAAGGGCTGCCCTCAGACCACCCATTTCTCATTTAGTTGCTTTTCCAACTACTATTGTACACAAAGTATTCTTAGATTTCAAAGGGGGCACAAATACACTCCAAGTACACAAAATCCCCAGCACTGAATTTGCCCTAGTGGGAAAATAATGTGATTTTGAAGTTCTTGTGTACAATGTGATTTTGAAGTTCTTGTGGTCTGCTTGTACTCTTCCCTACAAAGAGGGAACACGGCCGTCTGTGTTGGGGGTTTACATGCAAGGCCTAAAAAGTCAGTTCCCTTTTCAATGAGATATATGGTTTTAAAATGTCAAATGGCGGTTTATGACATCAGTAGGAAGAAGAGAAGGGGAAGTTAATTCTTACCAATGTGGTCACAATAGAAATGGCTTCATATCCCTCTGCCTAGTAGAGAGACTGGAACATATCTGCTTAATACAATCAATAAATCAATGTTGAATTAATAGCTGATACCTATCGATTATGAGCTGAAAATGAAGGTCCTTTACATTATTAATATTCATAATAAAGATCAAAAGTAAATAAATAATAAGACTGAAAGTTCAGTTATTCAGTATTAAAATAGATTTTGTTTTGTTAACATCAAAATAGATAGGAGTCAGGCTGTAGACTAATGGCAAATACAATGGTTTTTAGATGTGGGTAGTAAACCTGGATTGGTAGAGCCAGAGCAGTAGTTGCTGCAAAAACTCATACAGTACGACCCTCATCTAGGACATCTGATGGTTATACACATGGACACTTTAAATTTTAAACTTT
Organism: Homo sapiens; assembly: GCF_000001405.40. Lineage (NCBI taxonomy): Eukaryota > Metazoa > Chordata > Mammalia > Primates > Hominidae > Homo > Homo sapiens. Next base: position 122,709,781 of record NC_000006.12, on the reverse strand, counting down.
CATTTCAGAAAGCATTTATAATTAATATATACTTATTTATCTTTCAAAGGGAAAATGCAGTGTGATACCAAATAATAGAACTATTTTTACTAACACACCAAAATTTATAGATGGAAATGAGTATCATCTATCAAAGCAATTACTTTAAGTAGCCACATATTTATTCCACTTCTGAAACTGTTTTTGTGACTCCATCATTGCAACTCATTTTATACTCATACATCAAATAGTGGTAACATGTTCTATTTAAAATATAACGTATTTTATAGTAAACTGTTTTTAATTAAAAAAAAAAACTCCCACTTGATCCCATCTCTTTGTACTAAGAATGACTTCAGCTACTTTTCAAAACCTCCTTAGGTAATTTAGATTTGCACATATTCAAAATAAAACTATTTTAAATGATGATTTGAAAGCAGAGCTTTGGGCACTACTTAACTGCATTAACACACTCTCAAAGTGACTGCCCTTAGTCCTCTTGTTTGTTACACGGTCTATATGGAGCAATGGGAAGTTTGGTCGCCTAAAAGTGAACACTTCTGAAGTTGAATCCTGGACTTTCAACTTCTAGAAAGACATCTAACTTCTTTGTTGATTAGCATTCTACATTTTTAAAAAGTAGGATTTATATTATCTATTTTACTACCCTGGACTCAAATGAACTAATGTTATAAATGTGCTTGGTTAACAACTACACAAATGGAATTTATTTAGATATCAGTCATATAAATTTATAGGCACTATGACAGAGTATCATTATGAATATCAATTATTCTTTTAAGCAACAGTGTTGACGTGGCTCTAGAGACAGCCTCTGATGTTGGACTGTAGGCAGAAAGAGATTAACGCAGCTGGGCGTGATGGCTCATGCCTGTAATCTCAGGGTTTTGGGAGGCTGAGGCAGGCAGATCACCTGAGGTCAGGAGTTTGAGACCAGCCTGGCCAATATCTACTGGCCAGTATCTACTAAAAATACAAAAATTAGCCAGGCGTGGTGACGCATGCCTGTAATCCCAGTTACTCAGGAGGCTGAGGCAGTAGAATCACTTGAACCCGGGAGGAGGAGGTTGCAGTGACCTGAGATCACGCTACTACACTCCAGCCTGGGCAACAGAGCAAGACTCCATGTCAAGAAAAAGAGATTAACTCTGAGACATTTCCAGAAAGTTGATATTGTTTAAAAAGGCATTCAAAAAATCATTTACAATCTGCTTCCCAGCACACCCTCAAACCTGTCTACGTTTCTGCAACATCTGAACCATACAAGTCACCAGTCACAGAAAACCATATCTCCCCTACACTGCCCATAGGAAGATTTCTCCCTAAAGGTGAAATTTTCACATACTTTCAGAAACAAACCATGTTTCAGTGTTCTCTCCAATGGTTAAAATGGGATTGAAATTCTTGATTTCTTCATGATGCCTAAAAAAGCATTCTTAATCTGAGTAATATTAAAATGAGATAATATGGCATAGGAAAAAGGGTCACAAAAGATAATATTGACAGAGTCCTGCTTTCTCAGTGGGGCTTGCTTTAACCACCTTGTTTAAAATTGCATCTCATCCCTCCAGCTTCTAATTCCTCTTACTTTCTCTTAGCACTTACTAGCTTTGAAAATGTATTCGCATTTACTTATGATTGCAGTTGTTGCTTATTGTCTGTCTCCCTTCACTAGAAGGTAAGCTCCACAAAGCAGAGCTTTTGTTTTTGTAGGTTGTTTCATTGATGTATTCATAGGACCAAAAGCCATGCCTGATTCTTATTCAGCAAGCACTCAATAAATAAAATAATTGTCTTTCCACTTTTCAACATGAATTTTTTTTCTTTTTGCATATGACATTAATATATGCTTGTTGTTGGGAAAAGGACAATTCCAAAAGACATAAAGAAGGAAAAAGAGATTGCCATCCCGCTATCCAGTAACAGTGCTGTTGTAATTCTGGTGCATAACCTGCCAGAATTTTTTCAGCGGCACATATACAAGAATATCACAACATATTTTACACACCATTTAGTTTGAAGCTAGATGATATTTATTTGATATCATTTTATTATATCTTAAAAATGCAATCTTTCTCAAATCAACATAATTCAAAATTTCTAATGACAGTTTTGAAAAAATAAAATTTTCTTGAATGTTAACATTAGAGAGCATATACCAACTATGTAAAATATGCATAGCCAAAAAGCAAGGAACATGGCTGAGTACTGAAATTACTTATAAATGTTTCTTTAATCGGATAAATAAAATGGGTATAAAATAGATAGGTATAATGCTTTTTTAAATGCACCCACAGTTTCGGTAGTGTCTTTTTCTTCTATTTCATCAATTTAAAGAAAAACTCTTAGGATGTCTCTTAGCCCATATTTAAATGAATATAATATTCATTTTTTTCTTCCAACAAAGAAAAGGAGAGAAATGATTAAGCCTTTTTGAGCTCTGATTTGTTTTCTAAGTTATCTTCGGTACTTTACAGAAGAAATCATTATAACGTTGCAGCAAGCAAAAAATTCAATCAAAATTATGGGAACAAAAATTAAGAGTAGTTTTGAGAATTTTTCTGGGTCATAGAGGAAAAAAAATCCCAACCAAAGGGCAAACAACTTTAGAAAGAAAAATCATCTAATTGAAATATTTTTTCATCAAATTATGCATGTTTATATTAACCTGCAATTAAGTTAATAGAAGTAGCATTATTTAAATTGATACATTTAACTTTTATAAAAACATTTTGTACAAAATTATGTTACTATAGTCCTTTAGTACTATATAAGTTAAATAGAAAAATGAGGCCATGAAAATATCTAAAATATTTAAAAACATAAATTTTCAAAATTTTAAAACCACTATGCATATATTAGTTTTAAAATACATTCACAGAAAAACATTTTAAGGGAAATATACTGAAATTATAATAGTTATTCCCTTTGTGTATGTTATTATTAATGATTTCTATTTTCTTCGTTGAATTTTACTTTTTTCCAAATTTTCTATAATGAAGATTTTTATGATATGAAAAATGGCATATGCATGTGTTAAGCATGCATTGTTTTAAAGCACTTTATTGAGAATTTGTTCATGTGATTCTACACTGTGGATTAGTCACTACTGTCTTCATTTTAAGGGTGAGGAAACTGACGATCATAGAAATAAAAGGGTTTGGCTAAACCTAGCTAGCAAGTAACAGAGACAAGACTGGAACCCATTTCATCTCACAACTCATTATTTTCTCCTTAAATTACACCTCAGCAAACATTTATTGAGCACAGACTCAGTCCTCATTCAATCAATTATTGTTAAGCATCTACTATATCTTCCGTTCAGTGCAAGACTCTGGGGAAACAGTGGCAAATAAGACTAAGCATTGTGATAGAAACAGTGGGGACACATGAAGATGCTTAATATATGGTCCCCACCCTGAAAGAGTTGTGAACTCATCGTACAGATGGAATATGTTGCATATTAAAGGAAATGTAAAAATAGAAGTAAATATATGATATATTCAAATAAGTGTTATAAATAAAACTACTATAGAAATGTAAAAGATAAATGGTTACTGAATTTTGGGGTGATTAAGGAATATTTCACAAAGGCTGTAGAACACACACAGAGCCTCAAAATTTGGGAGGAATCCACACAGGTAGAAAGGGAATGAAAGGCTTACTAAGCCAGAGAAATATCTGTAAGCTAAAAGAGGGGAGTGCAAAAAGCAAGTTCTAAATAAGAGAAAAGGAAACATTTCGCTGCCATGGAGTGTTATGCCCACGTGGAGTTGGAAAAATGAGTTGGAGCATAGTCATAACATAGTGGGAAAGAAAATGAATGCCATGAACAATATGTGAACGTATCCTGTAAGCACCAGGGAATCATGAAACTTCTAAATCACATAGTAAAGGTGTGTATGAGATGCATTTTCTGGCCAGGCGCAGTGGCTCATGCCGTAATCCCAGCACTTTGGGAGGCCAAGGCAGGCAGATTACAAGGTCAGGAGATCGAGACCATCCTGGCCAACATGGTGAAACCCCATGTCTACTAAAAATACAAAAAATTAGCTGGGCGTGGTGGCATGTGCCTGTAATCCCAGCTACTTAGGAGGCCAAGGCAGGAGAATCACTTGAACCAGGGAGCTGGAGGTTGCAGTGAGTCGAAATTGCGCCACTACACTCCAGTGTAGCCACAGAGCAAGACTCCGTCTCAAAAAAAAAAAAAAAAAAAAGATGCGCTTTCTGAAAATAGAGACAGATGTCAAGGAGAACCATTAAAGCATATTAAAAGGTGAAGTTTTTAAATCAAATCTACCACAATAGAGTAATAAGCTGATTCCAAAAATTTATATGAAAATGCTACAGACTGAGAATAACTTCTTATTCCAAAAAGAAAGGAAAAAGTAAAGGACTTACACTATCAGACTTGATGGCTATTAATTCTGTGTGGTATTCCTCAAGGGTAGACAAATAGAATACAAAATAAAATAGACACTCTAGAAATAGACAAATACACTCTTATTGTCCATTGATTTCTGAAAAAGGCTTTGATTATCAATGTGGTCATTGAACCATGATGATCTTGGAGGACTCACAAAGGCACCACAAAATTAGATATTGGTGGAGAAATTTTTGATCATGGAAACAATAGATCTTGTTTATAATAATTTGTGACAAAAATTCTAAGGATTATTAAATAGATGGCTTTCAGCTATAGTGTTTTTCTGGTATATTTTATTTTTAGACAAGGTCTCCCTCTGTTTCCCAGACTGGAGTGCAGTGACATGATCACAACTCACTGCAGCCTCAATTGTTTGAGCTAAAAGCAATGTCCTGTCTGCCTCCCGAATAGTTAGAGCTACAGGTGGGCAGCATCACACTTGCCTAATTTTAAAACTTTTTGTAGAGTTGAAGGATGGTCTTAAACTTCTGGCCTCAAGTGATCCTCCCTCCTTGGCCTCCAAAAGTACTGGGGTTTCAAGAAGGAGCCTCCACCTGATTCAATGATCAACACTTTGCTATATTTAATCTCTCTAAACATAAACACACACACACACACACACACACAGTTATTATTTCACCAACTGAAAGCAAGCTGCCATTAACATGACACTGCATATCTAAATACCTTAGCATATATCTAAGTATTTAAGAATTGGTCTTCTGTGTATATCCATCATACCGTTATATTTCCACAATGTTATTTTTTTCATGTTCCAATTCCTGAGATAATTCACCTTTTCTCCTGGAGTTTAGCCTTTGAAATTCTTTTGGGAACTATAGTTTTTTGATGACTGAAAAGATCTATTTTTATCTTCATTCTTACAAATACACTATTTTAGGATGAAAGCACCTAACAATATTATTCCACATTATTCTATTTTTGCTGTTAAGAAGTTTGCTAATTGTGATGGCTAATTTTATATGCCAACTTGACTGGGCTACAAAGTGCTCAGATACTTGGTTAACCATTTCTCGGGGTGTGTCTGTGAGGGTGTTTCCAGAAAAGATTAACATCTGAATCAGTGGACTGCATAAAACACATTGCCCTTCTCAATATGGGCGGGCCACATCCCATGCATTGAAGTCCTGAATGGAATAAAAAGATAGAGAGAAGGAGAATTTCTTTCTCTGCCTGTCTTCAAGCTGTCTTCAGTCTTCAATCTTTTGCCTTAAACTCAGACTTGGCCTGGAACCGACAATAGTGGGTCTCCCGGTTATCAGACTTGAACACAAACTGGAACCATATCATTAGCTCTCCTGAGTCTCTAGCTTGCCAAAGCCTTAGGACTTCTCAGCCTTCATAATTGCATGAACCAATTTCTCTCTCTCTCTCTCTCTCTCTCTCTCTCTCTATATATATATATATATATACACACATATATATATAGCGTTTTTTATATAGAGAGCGAGCATTTTTGCCGTTCTTACGTAGAGCTTTTACATATATATACATATATATGTGTGTATATATAGCTTTTACATATATACATATATACATATATGTATATATATGTGTGTGTATGTATATATGTAAAAGCTCTACATAAGAATGGCAAAAACGCTCTACATAAGAACGGCACCTGCATCATAAGTGTATTAGATTCTTCAGAGAATTGCATCATAAGTGTATATAGTTCACTATTCTCTCTTCAGCTGTGTCTAATCAGCTGCATAATCCACACACTGTTTTTATTTCCAATTATCATATTTTTATTTCTAGGCAATCTACTTTGCTCTTTTTCAAGTTTAGTTCATTGTATTACAGTATCTTATTACTTAGTCATTTATACTTACATATGTTTTCTCATAGTAAAAATAATAAAGGAATGTTTTAATAATTGAAATAAAAACAGTAGTCTTATCACACAAGAGCAACTGTTTGCTTTCAGTCTTTTTTCTGTGGGGTTTTAAATAGTTTTCAAAATACTGTACTGTTTCCTGCTGTGTTTGCTTAACATACGACATAAGCATTTTCCCATTAAAATTCTGTAAGTTTAAAAGAAATAAAAAATTAAAAAACCCTCAATTATTCTTTTCAAATATATTAAGGCTATAAAAATTTTTTACAAATAGTAATAACAATATCATATACAATGTGTGTTCAGTACATAGACAATATGCATGTGTACATTATACACGATGCATTAAAATGTTATATTATCTTTTACTTAAAGGGCATTTCACAGAATAGAGCTGATACATTGAAGCTTGTTTCGTAAGAGAAGTCAATTGAATCTTTCTGTAGCACATTATTGCACAATTATGGCTTTAAACAAAAGTTACAAGTCACAAGTTCTTACATTTTGGGTCATGTTGTAGAATGTATTCCAAATGAAAAATGGAGGAGAAAGTACACGACATCATGCTTCATGTTATGGCATATAAATATTAACTATTTTAACATATAACTGTATGATGAATGATACAGTTAAGACCTATACTATATCATATATAGTTATTATTATAAAAAGTTATACATTATGCCACAGTACTAAAATATATTCTTCTCAAATAGTGAAAAAAATTCTCTACGAAAAATTCCAATATTTAAATTCTTTATACTCTGATCCCATTGTTTACCGTTTTTGTCGAATCTTTCTCATGGAGACTTATTTCTTTGGTTGCTTCGTGATTTGGGGTTCTGAGATCATATTTTTAAAAACATTTCCCTTAAGGCTGGGTGCAGTGACTCATGCCTGTAATCCCATCACTTTGGGAGGCCAAGGTGGGCAGATCACCTGAGGTCAGGAGTTTGAGACCAACATGGCGAAAACTTGTCTCTACTAAAAATATAAGAATTAGCTGGGTGTGGTGGTGTGTGCCTGTATCCCAGACACTAAGGAGCGTGAGGCAGGAGAATCACTTGAACCCAGGAGGTGGAGGTTGCAGTGAGCCGAGGTCACGCCACTGCACTCCAGCTTGGGCAACAGAGTGAGACTCCATCTCAAAAAAAAAAAAAAAAAAAAAGTTTTTTTAAAAAATTACCTGAGACCTGGGTTAAATGGGGTTAAGGTGTTTTCCTCTACCTAGCTCTGAATTTGCCTCTGCTGGGGCAATACCAGATTGGTAGCCTTATATTCTCAGCATGACTTTTGTTCGGATTACATAGACTACACAGTTGGAAATTTGCACACTCAATGTGAGGTTTCATTTTCGTTCATAAGTTATTAAGAGAGTCTTTCCCCCGTTTCCATCCAAGGCAAAGTCAAGACTGGCAAGTCTCCTTACTGTCTTCCTTGGAGGTTAGGGTTTTGTCATATTACCCTTTTATTGAGCATGTCACTCTTAGAAATCCAAGTCTTATTCTGGTTACCTAATGTAACTAATAGTAACTCTTGTTACTATTACTCCCACAGCCCCTGGTTGTTCATACTATTCCTGGTTACAACCCTCACATGCTCCTGCATGCCCTGCAATGTTCTTCTCCTTTGGTGGTATGTATGACCAGTAAACTGCTGTGGATCTCATCTGTCCAGTGTTGGGTGTTGGTTGTCTAGGCATCTCTGAATCTCCAGGGCAGGAATCTTTCGTTCACCAATGGGGTGAATAGAAAGCAATAAAATCCACTGGTGTTATGAACCATATGACATGCCCAACCATTTCAGAAGACACCTAGTCAGTTAAAATTAACTGTTCCTTGGTTATTTGGTTCTGAGTTATTTGGCAAGGGTACCTGAGACAGAACTGCTAACTGCTGATGGGCTTGAGCTATGGCCTATGTGGCACTGTTATGCCATCTCTTTTAACTCTGCAATGCTCTTGTCCCCAAGAAGAAAATGGTTGTTAACTATACCCTGGTGTGACATGCTGTCAGGTTCAGCCTGTGTTTGGCAGGTGATCTCTGAAGCTTCAGCCTGTAAATGCAATGAGAAAACAGTGCCTTAACCAGTCAGTACTTCATTCCTGCTTACCAGAGCTCAGGCTAGAGCTCTCTGATCACCATGTCTAGCCTGGTGACTGTCACTGGCTGCTTGGAGCAGCAATACAGACATTGCTTGTAATGGTACACCTATGGAACAGGCGCAGAGGCAGCCCTGTGTGAGGTTTGTGGGAAGGAAAGTGGCCACACCATGGAGAACCAAGCATGGTATCCTGGTTGCCATTGTTGTTCATGCAAAGGTAGTGACCTTTCTGGTCTCCTCTGCTGCTGCTTCCTGAGCTGCTATTGCTTGCACTCTCATGACTCCGAAGGGCATCGAGGTGCAGATCCATGGTGGCCTGTGGCACAGGTGCTAATGAAAAAAGAAAAGGGTGGGGAGAGGAAGGAGCATTTGGTACTCAAATGATTTGCCAATGCAAAACCCATAGCCAGTATGCCTGGGCTCAGCACTGCTGCCTACTAGCACACCAAATGGCCAATCTTGCAATCATGGGCTTGCTGGCCCTATCCAAGCCATAGACTAATGACTTTACTGGATATGGACCTCAACTCTAGAGAGATGGACTCGCACTTCCTAGAGGAAGAGGCAGCCACTTCTGAGAAAGGCCACTAAGCTCCCTAATGTTTTCCCATAAGTACCCAGAAAGTTTGCACCACAGGTGATTTTACAGAAAGCTCCAATTTCACCTAGCTAAAAACTCAAAATATTCTCAGGGAATTTGTGCAGAGAAAGAAACAAACAAAGAGGGAAAAAGTCCACACGACAGAAACGGTAGGGCAGTGGCAGCAGGAGATAATTTTGGTCTATTGAGTCTGGGTTATAAACCTAGCTTTCTTTCCCTGTACCACTCTGCTTACTATGTCTCTGTTGCAATAAAGATCCTAATCCTTGAGGTTATAGAGAAATACCTATGTTACCTTTGTGGCACTGTGGTACCCCATGGCACCATTAATTCAAACTCAACTTAAGCCCAGGGTCTTTAAACCATATAAAGCAACCATTGCTGTGGGGGAAACCCCTAACCCTGATGATACTAATTTGAAGCTCTCTGAGAGAAAAGACTTATAAGTATCATCAGGGTAAAGAGGATCCCACACCACCACCCCACCACCACCAAATATGTCCAGTGACCACCACTAAAAAAAAAAAAAAAAAAAAAAAGAAAGAAAAGAAATTTTAAAAAGCAAAGAAAAAAATATCCTGGATACGGGGAGGAACCAACAACAACAACAACAACAACAACAGAACCCTAAAACAAAGATCTACAATTTGACCCAATTGGAAATTCAAAATATATTAAAGGCATTTATATAGCCAAGATAAAGGGGCACTGATTGGCTTTTGTGCCTCTACAGTATAGGTTCTTAATTAACTTTAATACCTGCTGAAATGCACCAATTGGCAAACCTTCATGGTTTTAACTGGCATTAGGGCTCAGATTACAGTTATGACTAGGATCTTCCTAAATTTAAACATGGTATCCCCCATAACATTAGGGGAGTTCTGGCATATAAAATAGAGGACAAAGAGATATGCCTCTTCTTAACCATCATAATTACTGTCTTGCCTAAATTTCTCATCATGGTCATAGCAATCATTGCCCTAAAATATCCCATAATGGACATGGACGCTCTGACCCAATGAAAAATAAATGGAAATTAGATTAAATCTTGACACTTATAAATTGGCTTGACAGGATGGAAACTCCCGACTCTTCTGCCTCCACCCCAAATTAAAATAATTATTAACATGGCTCAAAGTAATTTAAAACAGGGCTTTTGAGGATTAAAATTTGTTACATGACAGCTATAGAGTGCAGGGGTTATTATCCCCACTGCTTCTCCATTTAACAACCCAATCTGGCCTGTTTGGCCTGTCCTTAAACCTGGAACAAATAAATGGTGCAGCACAGTAGACTGCTGCAACCTTAATGCCATGGTCCCATACAGTTCAGGTCCCTATTTCCAACAAACTGAGTATTGAAACTTCTGACTCCATCCAATCAGCAACTGATAAATATTTTGCTACTATGAATTAGGCTAATATGATCCATTTGGTGCCAATGTCAGCAGTTTAGCAGTCACAGTTTGCTTTTACCTCCCATGAGACACAATATATATATATATATTTTAGTTCACAAATGCAATTCTTTTTTTTTTATTATTATACTTTAAGTTTTAGGGTACATGTGCACATTGTGCAGGTTAGTTACATATGTATACATGTGCCATGCTGGTGCGCTGCTACATAATATATTTTTACCAGGCTACTCAAGGGCTACCTCAGCAGCCTTGCTACTGCACACAGTCTTTGCAGGCAGGATCTTAATGACATCCACCTTTCTCCAGGAGCACAGGTATATTACATTGATGACATCCTTCTCCAGGAAGATTTGTTTGACGTATTCATTAAGAATATACAAATACAAAGGAACTCACACAAAAAGGGTGGATATTTCACACATAGTACAAAGTCCTGTGACTTCTGTTAAATTCCTGAAAGTTATTTGGTAAAGCAAAAGCTGCTCCATCCCTGATACTGTCAAAAAACAGGTATTAACCCTCTCAGTACCTACAAGGTTAATACAAGTCCAACATCTTTTAGTCTTTTTTGGGTTCTGGAGACAACATATTCTTTTGCAAATTTTCTTTAATTTCACTAGTGCTGTTACTTACAGATTGCCCATCTTAAAGGGGAACCTCCTCAACAAAAGGCTGTAGAAGCTGTCCAAAATGAAATCAACAGGCACTCCAGTTAGTGCCCTCAGAGGCTTCAGCGACCTCATCTCATGCCTCCTGGAGTCTCTAGGCCACCTGTGATGGTCATAAGTTGCTCATGGGCTTCTGATGCAAGAAACTGCCTTTCCTGGCCTTGTACTATACACCATTACAGTGGCAATTACTGGCCACACACTGGGCTTTTCTGGAAATAGAGGGTCTCACAGACTTTGAGCCTGTGACCCTCTGTACCCAGCTACTGCAATGCCTGGTAATGCATTGGAGCAGCACCCCCATGAATCTGGCCTAGCTATGAGACCTCTTTGCGACAGGATGGAGTCAAGCTTGGCCCTTCTGGCATATTCTATCTGTAGAAGGTGGTGGCCTCCTCTACCATCAGTCCTTTGCCAAAACCATGGTGCTAGGGGAAGTCATCCCTTTCCTAGAGTCCTTGGCTACCTGGAGAGCCCCCTGGGATCAACTGAATGAATGGCAATAGAAGGCCATACATTTTACCAATGATGTTGCCACAATTATACATGATAGAGCTCAGTAGAGAGTTGTTGCTCTTAATTCCTTAACCAAGATGTCCCTGATAAAGAATAGAACCCAAGGGTCAGCACAATTGGCACACTCTAGACATTTATCTTGGCAATGGATGCCCTGGCCATTTCACCTCATATGTATATTTTTACAACTCTTAGACCATTGCCTAAGGGTCTCACTTTAAAGAACTCTGTGAATCTCTTGTTTCACAGGTACCCAAATATAAATATATAAACCAAATCAACAGGTTTCTCTACATATCCTAAGGCCACAATACAAGGCCTCAACAGGATATTCCTTATCTCATTTGCAGTTTTAGACACTAGATTGTTACCAAGGCACTCATTTTATGTCTCAGAATACACAATGGAATCTTGAAGAAAGCTTTCCATTGAAATGCAGCCTTCCCATAGGCCTCAGGTAGTTAGCCCCAGGCAGCTACTTTAATTGATAAGCCTAATGGGTTTTCAAAGAACTATTTAAGTCACAATGAGACAAATGTCCCTCTACCCCCTTGATGTCACCACTGCCACAAGCATTGGTTAGTCTCAATTCACACCCCCTGGGAGCATCCACTCTCTACATCAATGTCACACAGGTCTCTCAATTGCTTTTACTGGTTATATATGGAGACATGCCCGAAGTTCATGTTTTTGGCAACCACCTCAAAATGTGGCCCTCTCTGCTTGGTCAGGTGCCTACTTTGCTTCCTAGGAAGGCACATCTCCTAATCCCTAAAAGTCTCAGTTATCATCAAGATTTAAACTGATGTCAAAGCATCAAGTGATCAATTGTAGCATAAAGCCAAAAATTTAGGCTTGATATCTGATAAAACAGGTCTCTAATGGCCTAACTACAAGTTCTCCTCCCATAGATCAGGTATCCTAGACAGACCACCATCCTTATGAAGGGGACCAGGCACAGTTTCTATTTATCCTTGAGTAGCAGGTTTTGTTCTCTGTTTGCCTGCCAAATCAAACAAGTGAATCACATCATTCCACAAGAACTGGGAGCACCCTACCCTCTTAATTCTCCAAAGGCTACCTCCTACAGACCTGGTTGTTCACTCTGCTCTTGAGTGCAACTCCTGTGTGGCCCTGCAAGGTGTGCCATGTCCTCCTCCCCCAGGCCATCAGTAGACATGACTAATAACTTGCTGTTGGTCTCATCTCTTCAGGGTCAGGTGGTGTTTAGCTCTCCCTCACCCACAGGGTAAATAGGAGGTGACTAAGACACCCTACCACTAATAGCATGTTCCTTTCTCTCATGAAAGGGAGACTGAAGTGTGGAGAAAAGGCATCAGGTTCACACATATCCTGTGTCCACGCTGACCCTCACTGAGCTGCAATGTGTCCAGTTACATCAGTGTGCACAGGGATCCACTGCTATTGTCTCAGGTATAACTATTACCTCAGGTAGAGATATGTGCATCTGCATCCTCTTTGTTACATCTCTGGACTTTAAGGTTGACGGTCTATTTAAATCATTCTATGCCCTCCATGAGGTCCATGAAATCACTTCAGAGTTTCACTCCTCTGAGGGGCTGAGAACTCTGTGAGGTGGCAGTCAGGCCCATCTGCCTGGGCACTTCTCTTGACCATTGCTTGTCTACCTTTCTAGGGTCGAAGAACATACAAAGAGAGCTTCTTTTTGATACCCAAATTTTCCCTGGGAAGTGAGGGATAGTCCTCTTTACATTTGGATGTTCCTTAGAATTTTTATTATTCAATCTCCCTTCTGTTCAACCCAGTGAGCTGGAATCCTGGCCACCTTCACAGAGACTTGAATAATGACTGGGGTCTCATTACATCCTGAATTCTTCTCCCACTAGCTAGTCAATGACTCATTTCCCTTCCCAGAAACATCAAAACTTTTACATCATCATATAGTAATTCCCACTCTACGGTTTGTTCTCAGTTCTTCAGTTTCAGATAGCTCAATAAATCTTTTCTTTCAAAAAGTCAGGCTATTGTCATAAATAATGCTGACTTTCAAGACTATGGCTCTTTGTTTAGATTTTAAAAAACAGAAACTTAAGTGATCGTTTGTTCTAGATTAAGTGCATCATCCCTCAGTGAACCACCTTTATAGAGTATTAAAGCAAGTATAAAGGAGTAAAGAAATCTCAGTTGATAACTAAAAATGTTATCAGCCATACACAGGTAGAACAGCTACTCTTAATTGGGCCCTTAGCTAGGCAGTGGCTTTTATTAATATATATTGTACATGGCTTTATATGCAATATTTTATTTAATCTTTACCACAGATGTCAGAGAGGGAGGGAGAGAAGAGAGAGGAGAGATAGATTCCCTACAATTCAAAAGAAACAACTGAAATAGAGTCTTTTAGATATTAAGAAACTTGCCCTAAGCTAGGATTTAAGCCCTGTCACATAGGATTCCAAAACATGGATTTTAAAAAATTTCATTATATTGCCTTTTCTAGAGTCATAGGCCCTTATAAATTTAGAAGAGATTAGACTAAAATAACTTTATAAAGTTATAAAGAAGTCACCTAAAAGTCACCTAGTACAGCCATCTACAATATGCCTGAATCATTTCAACAAGAATATTTTTCTTCTTTGAACCGCATATTCACCATAGTGTTTCAGCGAACCCAAAATATTGTTTCAGTAATTCATCTGATATGAAAACTTTAATTCATTTTTGAATCTTAAAGATCATACAATTGAATAATGTGCATAATTTTGAAAAAACTTATTTTTTGTTCTCTATACCTATTATTACGTAATACACATACAATACAATAATGTATATAATATGTGTAATCCATGAACACACACACATTTAGGTGTCATAAAATTCTTTCACAGAATAAAACAGAAACAAATACTTCTCTCATTGGTGGTATAATCCTATCTAATATAATTTAAATATTTGGTTGTTTTTAAGGTGTGTTAGTTTTGCCTCCTAGCTTACCTTTCATGTCTCAACAATTGGCAGAATTCATTAAAAATATTGAGGTCAATATAAATTTTTGTTTAATAATCCTGTTTTTTGGCTTAATGTTAGATTTTTTAATGCACTTGATCTTTGTAGCTTTTTTGTTAAAATTTGAAAATAAGTTTGCATTTCATGAGAGGGTATTTTCTGGTTACAAAGGAGAGAAGGCTCCAAAGAATGCAGCGTAGGAACCCTCTACTGTATTAGATTCCCTCAGGGTAATTGAAATTGACAGCTGACTACACTCTATTTACCAGTCCTTTTAGTCATTTCTATACAGTAAGACAAATCAATATGCATCTACTGTCAAATCCAGGACTTTCCCCTTGAAAGCTTTAATTAAGATTTGTGACCTTCTCCCAGCTATGTACACCTCGACCTGAATATCCTTTTAGCTCAGTAGCCGTTCAATGATCAGGCACTCTGCTCCATCCATCTGCTCTAACAGTGACCTCCTTCGAATTTTTTTATGAGCTTTGGATATTTTCTTTTTATAGCTTTGCCATCATAATCATATTACATCCTGACACCAGGCAGTGTAAATTAATTCCCCTTTTTTCTTATGCACCACTCCACAAAGAACCAGATTTTTCACTTTAACACTTGATTAAATTGTGGAAAGGAGAAGAAAAAAAAATTGAGAAAACTTTATCTCACCTGTGCCAGCTTGGAGACTGAAAAAGTGAATTTAAAGCAAATTAGCTCTTCCTAAGATTTTTTTACAAATCTTAACGTGGGAGATGGGGAGAAATACAAGAGAGATAAAGCAAGTTTGAATAAAACACCTATTTACTGAAAATTAATCTTATGCCATTTAAACCAGGACAGTGTTTCCCCAACTTCTGTTCATAAGACTCAGCTGGGAAGTCTGTTAGCAATACAGATTCCAGATACCTTCCCTAGAATTTTTGATTCAGTATGTCTGACATCATATGCATTACAAGCACCCTAGGTAACTGTGGTCACACAGTTTGAGAATAATGAATTGGAGTAAAGGTTAGGCAACATTCTCCTCCATCTTTCTCCAGTAATACTCTTGGGGGTGAGGGTAAGCCACATAAATCCATTGATTAAGTATCTTCAGGATCTAACTGCATATATACCCAAATGAATGGACTATTTACTGTGGTTTTAACAAAGTGTAGAAATGCATACGCACGACCTTGGAAGCCTACTCATCCAATTTCAGACCTTATTTAAAATTGCCTTGTAGTAAATTAAAAATTTAAATCTCAAAATTAAGTTTCTCAATACCTGCCCTGTCAGGATATATGCTGATGGCCTTGTCTAGATCAGTCATCTCCTAGAGTTTTTTACTTTTCACTCTGATAATCAACCCTGAAGTTCACCACTAAATCAGTTTAATATGATGTTCACTAAACATTCTCTGTGGGTAATGGTTTTTCCCCAGAAGACTAAAATCTCCCGAGAGGCAAGAACAGATTCTAAGGGTGGAAAGTAGATAGAAAATATTCATTGAGTGCTTTCCAAGTGAACTTAACATTGATCTGACACTGTGTAGTCCACATCATTTGCAGATCCTGTCTATGGGGAGAGAAAGTGTATGTTATCAAACTTCATAAAAGTGTTCTGTTGGCATTTTAAGTATTGTCATATTTATATATTAGGCAGCATGTCTGAACCAAGAAAAACCTTTCAAGTCATCCTGCCAGTTTGTTCATTCCACATCAGATCTTTCAAATATTGTCCTTTGACATTTGATTAAGGATGCTGAAGAATTTTAGTATGAGAAAATTCCCACAAATCTATCATAATTCAAATAGCTGAAGAAAATACTAAAAAGCTGACTCAGCTTGTCATAATTTGCAAATTAGTATAATTAAAGATAATTTTAAATATTCTCACTAGCAGGGGGCGGTGGGGAGTAAAGGAAGTATGGAAACATTGAAAGTCAACAGTTAGTTGACTCTAACTTCCAAGCTACGTACTACACCCTAGAGTACTGAAGTTTCAGAAAACCTTGAAGCCTTGTGTTCTGGGGTCTGCTGGACCCTGAAATTAATTATACGTCACAGGGTACAGAGGATAGAATGTTCTACATTTTCAGAAGCCCCAATTACAGTTGTGGAAATCTTAAAAAACAATGCAGATATGCATTGGTTCTTGTCTTGTTTTTATGTACTTGCATGTAAATGCAAGTCCTTTATCCTCAGCAAATCCTCTATGGAACGTGGAGAGAAAGCAGAGGTGCCTACCTTCTCTTAACTTGAATAGTCTTTATAATTTAAAGTATTGCTAATTGCCAAGATTAAAATTCAAAACTTGTTTCC
Organism: Homo sapiens; assembly: GCF_000001405.40. Lineage (NCBI taxonomy): Eukaryota > Metazoa > Chordata > Mammalia > Primates > Hominidae > Homo > Homo sapiens. Next base: position 122,692,895 of record NC_000006.12, on the reverse strand, counting down.
TAGTAACTTATAAATCAGAAGGCTTTATGTAGTCTGAAACATAATGTTTCTTTGATGTATTTTTAATCTAAAATAAGGTAGCCCAGATGAGGGATAGATCTTGATGGCTGAATAGAAGCCTCTACCTATTGTCCCCCTGACAGAAACAACAATTTAATTTAACAACTATCTACACCTTTATAAGAACCAAAAATCAGGTACCAGCTCAACCACAGTGGGGTAGAGCACCAACCAGCCTTGTGAGGCCCCAATTCTAGGCCTTGGCTCTTGGATGGCATTTCTGGACCTGCCATGGGCCAGATGGGAGCCCACTGCCCTGAAGGGTGAGTCGCAAGCCTGGAAGCATTCACCACAAGCTGACTGAAGAGCTTTAGGCAAGTAGTGAAAATAAGCAATGGCCTGGAAGTACTCCCCATGGGGCTGTGGTGGTGGCCACAGAGAGAGATTCCTCTGGCTGTGGAAAGGAGGGGAAGGTGGGAAGGACTTTGTCTCATGGTCTGAGTGCCAGCTTAGCTGTAGTAGAATAGAGCAACAGACAGATTCCTGAGGTTTTGACTCCAGTTCCTGGCTCCCATTTGACATCTCTGAATTCACTCAATGTGCCAGGGAATTCACTGCCCTGAAGGGAGGACACAGGTCTGACTGGCTTTGCTACTGGCTGATCGTAGAGCCCTAGGGCCTTGAGCAAACATAGGCTATAGACAGGGGATGGTTACAGCGGGCCTTGGGCAAGACTCAATGCAATGCTGGCTTCAGATCTGACCCAGAGCAGTCCCAGCACTGGTGGTCACAGGGGTGCTTGTGTCACCCTTCTTCCAGCTCCAGGCAGCTCAGCACAGACAGGGAGACTCTGTTTGTTTGGGAGAAAGTAAAGCAAGAGAGCAAGAGTCTCTGCCTGGTAATACAGAGTATTCTTCTGGATCTTATTGAACATCACTAATGTGGTACCTCTACAAGCCTACAAGAACCACAGTGTTACTGGGCTTGGGGTACCCTGTAATGCAGATATGCCTTAGATCACAATACCCAAATCCTTTCAAATACCTGAAAAGGCTTCCCAAGAAGGATAAGTAAAAACAAGCCCAGACTGAGACGACTACAGTAAATACCTAACTCTTCAAGGCCCAAACACCAATGAACATCCACAAGCATCAAAAACATTCAGGAAAACATGGCCTCACCAAATGAACTAAATAAGCTACCAGGGACCAATCCTGGGGAAAAAGAGATATGTGACCTTTCAGACAGAGAATTCAAATTAGCTGTTTTGAGGAAAGTTAAAAAAAAAATCAAGATAACACAGGGAAGCAATTCAGAATTCTATCGGTTAAATGTAACAAAGAGATTGAAATAATTAAGAAGAATCAAGCAGAAATTCTGGAGGTGAAAAATAAAATTGACATACTGAAGAAGGCATCAGAGTCTCTTAATAGCAGAATTGATACAGCAGAGAAAGAATTAGTGACCTTGAAGACAAGTTATCTGAAAATACAGTCAGAGCAGACAAAAGCAAAAAGAATAAAAAGGAATAAAGCACTCATACAAGATCTAGAAAATACCCTCAAAAAGGCAAATCTAAGAGTTATTGGCCTTAAAGAGTAGGTAGAGAAAGATACAGGGGTAGAAAGTTTATTCAAAAAGATAATGAAAATTTCTCAAACCTAAACAAAAATATCAATATCTAAGTACAGGAAGGTTATAGAATATCAAGAATATTTAACTGAAAGGAGACTACCTTAAGGCATTTAATAATCAAACTCCCAAAGGTCAAGGATAAAGAAAGAACCCTAAAAGCAGTAAGAGAAAAGAAACAAATAACATATAATGGAGCACCAATATGTCTGGCAGCAGGGTTTTCAGTGGAAAATTTAGGGCCGGGAGAGAGTGGCATGCCATATTTAAAGGGCTAAAGGAAAAAAACCTTTTACCCTAGAATAGTATATTTGGCAAAAAAAAAAAAAAATATATATATATATATATCCTTCAAGCATGAAGGAGAAATAAGGACATTTCCAGACAAACAAAAGCTGAAGGATTTCATCAACACCAGACCTGTCTTACAAGAAATACTAAAGGGAGTTCTTCAATCAGAAAGAAAAAGAAATGTTAATGAGCAAGAAGAAATCACCTGAAGGTACAAAACTCACTGTTACTAATAAGCACGCAGAAAAATACAGCATATTATAACACTGAAATTGTGGTGTGTAAATTACTGTTATATTAAGTAGAAAGACTAAAAGGTGAACCAATCAAAAATAATAACTGAGACAACCTTTCAAGACATAGACAGTATAGTAAGATATAAATAGAAACATCAAAAACTTAAAAAAGCAGGGAGAGGAAGTTAAAGTATAGAGTTTTTATTAGATTTCTTTTTGCTTGTTTGTTTGTTTATGCAATTAGTGTTAGGCTGTCATCAGTTTAACATAACGGGTTATGAGATAGTATTTGCAATCCTCATGGTAACCTGAAATCAAAAAACATACAACAAATACACAAAAAAATAGAAGGTAAGAAATTAAACTATGCCACCAGAGAAAATCATCTTCACTAAAAGGAACGCAGGAAAGGAGAAAAGACCACAAAACAACTAGAAAACAACTAAATGGCAAGAGTAGTCCTTACCTATCAATAGTAACATTGAATGTAAATGGACTAAATTCTCCAATAAAAAGACACAGAGTGGTTGAATGGATTAAAAAAAAAAAGAAAGACCCAATGATCTGTTGCCTATAAGAAACACACTTCACCTACAAAGACACACACAGACAGAAAATAAAGATGGAGAAAGATATTCCATGCTAATGGAAGTCAAAAAAGAGCAGGAGTAACTATACTTATATCAAAAAAAATGTACTTCAAGACAAAAACTATAGGAAGAAACAAAGGTCATATAATGATAAAGGGGTCTATTAAGCAAGAGGATATAACAATTTTAAATATATATGCATCCAACACTAGAGCATCTAGATATATAAAGCAAATATTATTAGAGCTGGAGAGAGAGATAGACTCCCAACATAATAATAGCTGGAGACTTCAACATCCCACTTGCAGCACTGGACAGATCTGCTAGACAGAAAATCAACAAAGAAACATTGGACTTAATCTGCATTATAGACCAAGTGAACCTGATAAATATTTACAGAACATTTTATCCAACAGCTGCAGAATACACATTTTTCTCCTCAACATACTGCACATTCTCAAGAATAGACCATATGTTAGACCACAGAACAAGTCTTAAAACATTTTAAAAATTGAAATAATATCAAGCATCTTCTCTGACTACCATGGAATAAAACTAGAAATCAGGAGGAATTTTGGAACCTATACAAACACATGGAAATTAAACAATATGCTCCTAAATGACCAGTAGATCAATGGAGAAATTAAGAAGGAAATTGAAAAATTTCTTGAAACGAATGATAATGGAAACACAACATACCAAAACCTGTGGAATTCACAAAAACAGTACTAAGAGGGAAGTTAATAGCAATAAGCACCTACATCAAAAAAGAATAAAATTTCAAGTGATCAACTCAATGATGCATATTAAAGAACTAGAAAAGCAAGAGAAAACTGAACCCACAATTAGTAGAAGAAAAGAAATAAACATCAGAGCAGAAGTAAATGGAATTGAAATGAAGAAATAACACAAAGGATCAATAAAACGAAAATTCGGTTTTTAGAAAAATAACCAAAATTGACAAACCTTTAGCCAGACTAAGAAAAAAAGAGAGAAGACCCAAATAAATAGAATTAGAGATGAAAAAGGAGATGTTACAACCAATACCAGAGAAATTGAAAGGATCGGCCAGGTGTGGTGGCTCACGCCTGTAATCCCAGCACTTTGGGAGGCCGAGGTGGGCGGGTCACGAGGTCAGGAGATCAAGACCATCCTGGCTAACATGGTGAAACCCCGTCTCTACTAAAAATAAAAAAAAATTAGACGGGCGTGGTGGCGGGCGTCTGTAGTCCCAGCCACTCGGGAGGCTGAGGCAGGAGAATGGCGTGAACCCGGGAGGCGGAGCTTGCAGTGAGCCGAGATCGCGCCACTGCACTCCAGCCTGGGCGACAGAGCAAGACTCTGTCTCAAAAAAAAAAAAAAAAGAAAGGCTCATTAGTGGCTACTATAAGTAACTATATGGAATAAATTGGAAAATCTAGAAGAAATGGATAAATTTCTAGACATGCAATCTATCATACAATCTATCAAGATTGAACCATGAAGAAATACAAAACCTGAACAGACCAATAACAAGTAACAAGACTGAAGCCATAATAAAAAGTCTCCCAGTAAAGTAAAGCCTGAGACCCAATGGCTTCACTGCTAAATTCTACCAAACATTTAAAGAAGAACTAATACCAGTCCTACTCAAAGTATTCCAAAAAAAACAGAAGAAAAGAATACTGTCAAATTCATCCCATAATGCCAATATTACCCTGATTCCAAAACCAGACAAAGACACATCCGAAAGAGAAAAATACACACCAATATCCCTAAAGAATATCAATCCAAAAATCTTCAACAAAACACTAGCAAACCAATTCAACTCTTCACTAAAAGTTTCATTCATCATGACCAACTGGGATTTATCCCTGGGATGAGAGTATGGTTCAACATACACAAATCAATCAGTGTGATACATTATATTAACAGAATGAAGGACAAAAAAACATATGATCATTTCAATTGATGCTGAAAAAGCATTTGATAAAATTCAACATCCTTTCATGATAAAAACCCTCGAAAAACAGATACAAAAGAAACATACCTCAACATAAGAAAAGCCATATGTAACACACCCACAGCTAGCATTACACTGAATGGGGAAAAACTGAAAGCCTTTCCTCTAAGATCTGGAATATAATAAGGATATCAACTTTCACTACTGTTATTCAACATAGTACTGGAAGTCCTAGCTAGAGCCATTAAATAAAATTTAAAAAAAAAAGGACATCCAAATTGGAAAGAAAGAAGTCAAATTACTCTTGTGTGCAGATGATATGATCTTATATTTAGAAAAATCTAAAGACTCCACCAAAAAGTATTAGAACTGATAAACTCAGTAGAATATCAGGATGCAAAATCAACATTCAAAAATCAGTAACATTTCTTTATGCCAAGATTTAATAATCTGAAAAAGAAATCAAAAAAGTAATTTCATTTACCATAGCTAAAATTAAAATATCTAGGAATTAACCAAAGAAGTGAAATATCTCTACAATAAAAACTAAAACCCTGACAAAAGAAATTAAAGAGGACACAAAAAATGATAAGATATTCCATGTTCGTGGATTGGAAGAATCAATAATGTTAAAACGTCCATATTACCCAAAGCAATCTACAGATTAAATACAGTCCCTATGAAAATATCAATGACATTCTTCACAGAAATAGAAAAAACTATCCTAAAATTTATACGGAACCACAAAAGACCAGAATAATAGCCAAAGCTATCCTAAGCAAAAATAGCAAAACAAGAGGAATCACATGACCTGACTTCAAATTATACTACAGAGCTACAGTAAGCAAAACAGCAGGCTACTAGCATAAAAACAGACATATAGACCAATGGAATAGAATAAAGTACCCAGAAACAAATCTATACATCTACAGTAAACTCATTTTCAACAAAGGTGCCAAGAACATATACTAAGGAAAAGATAGTCTCTTCAATAAATGGTACTAGGAAAACTGGATATCCATATGCAGAAGAGTGAAACTAGACCCCTGTCTCTTGCCATACACAAAAATCAAACCAAAATGAATTAAAGACTTAAATTTAAGACTTCAAACTATGAAACTACTAAAGGAAAACATTGAGAAAACTCTCCAGGATACTGAAATGGGCAAAGATTTCTTGAGTAATAACTCACAAGCACAGGCACCCAAAGCAAAAATGGACAGATGGGATCACATCAGGTTAAAAAGCTTCTTCACAGGAAAGGAAACAATCAACAAGGTGAAGAGAGAACTCATGGAAAGGGATAAAATATTTACAAAGTACCAATGTGACAAGAGATTAATAATTAAAATATATAAGGATCTCAAACAACTTTATAGGAAAAAATTAATAATTAGATTAAAAATGGGCAAAAAAGGCTGGATGTGGTGCCTCACACCTGTAATCCCAGCACTTTGGGAGGCTGAGGCAGGAGAATCACTTCTGCACAGGAGTTCAAAAGACAATCTACTGGGACTCCATCTTTACAGAAATTAAAGAAGTTATCTGGACATGGTGACACCTGCCTGTTGCCCCAGCTCTTTGGGAGGCGAGGTGGGGGGACTGCTTGAGCCTAGGAAGTTAAGGCTGCAGCGAGCCATGATCATGCCACTGCACTCAGGCCTGGATGAAAGAGTGAGATCCTTTCTCGAAAAATAAAAAATATATATATATATAAATGGGCAAAAGATTTGAAAAAAAATATTTCTCAAAAGAAGACATACAAATGGCAAACAGGTATAAGAAATGGTGCTCCATATCATTCGTCTATCAGAGAAATGCAAATAGAAACCAATGAGATACCATCCTACTCCAGTTAAAATAGCTATTATTAAAAAGAGAGACAATAACAAATGCTGGTGAGGATGAGAAGAAAAGGGAACCCTCATATACTGTTGGTGGGAATGTAAATTTGTACAATCACTGTGGAGAACACTTTGAAGTTTCCTCAAAAAATTAAAACAGAGCTACCATATGATCTAGCAATCCTACTGCAATGTACATACTTCAAAGAAAGGAAATCAATATATCAAAGAGGTCTGCACTTCCATGTTGACTGCAGCATTATTCACAATAGCTAGGATTTGGAACAACTTAAGTGTTCATCAGAAGATGAATGGATAAAGAAAATGTGATACCTATACACAATGGAGTACTATTCAGCCATAAAAAGAATGAGATACTGTCGTTTGCAACAACATGGATGGAATTGGAAGACATTATGTTAATTGAAATAAGCCAGGCACAGAAAGACAAACTTTGCATGTTCTCAGTTATTTGTGGGAGCTAAAATTAAAACAATTGAATTCACGGAGACAGAGAGCAGATGGATGGTTACCAGAGGCTGGGAAGGGGATCATGGGTTAGTGGTGGGATGGTAGTAAAGGATGGTTAATGGGTACAAAAAAATATAGAAAGAATAAGACCTAGTATTTGATAGCACAACAGGATGACTATAGTCAATAATAATTTAATTTTATATTCTAAACTAAAAGAGTGTAATCAGATTGTTTTTAACACAAAGGATAAATGTTTGAGGTAATGGATGCCCCATTTACCCTGATGCATGCCTGTATCAAAATATCTCATGTTCTCCATAAATATATACACCTACTATGTACCCACAAAAATTAAAAATAAAAAGCCAATAAAAACTAATTAATTAATTAATTTTAAAAAGCTAGCCCAGTTACAGCAGAAATTTTCCTTGAGTATTTCTTTTTTTATAGGCAGTTGTCCAACTGAGGCCAAATAGAATGGGCATTTTGCTGCTGTGTTTATGCATGATGTAAACTCATTTGAACCTAAGATTCTTCTCTTTCTTTTAATTCTTTTTAAAACTTGCCTTGAGATTTATCTGGGAAATACAAATTGGGTCATTCTTATCTCTATTGCTTATATACACTGTAGTAATTATAAATGCCAATAGAATTTTTAGTCTTTTTAAAACTGCAGCTTTTTGGTATTACCTACACTTTGGCACAATCTCCCCCTTTAATTCATGATGATCTCATTTCTTAAATTAAAGATAGTGATAGGATCCAGTTCCTAATTCTATCACTGTCTATGACCGGGGGCAAGTGACTAACTTTTCATAACACATTTTCAATAATCTGAGAAGTTTAGCAGCTGGAAGAAAATTAATAAATGTGTTTTCTCAATTTAAAAAATTTATAGAAATGTTTCAATAGACTAATTTTTAAGATTGCAATGTACATTTTACATAAGAGACTCACATGTGTATCTGACCTTGACCAAAGCATACCTTATCCAGTTTATTTTTCTTATTTTACAACTTAAGAGAATTGATGCAAAGCCAAATTAATCAATGCTATTAAAGGCAGTCAAGAGGAAAACAAAACAAGTGACAATCAATGTGTAATTTGTAGATATCTGAGAATTTTGGAGCTAGAAGAAATTTTAATCATCAGCTCATTAATAAACAAAACAAAACTAAAAACAAAAAAGCCGGTCTATTTTCAAAGATGTATATAGGAGACCAGATTGCTGGTATGACTAATCATCTGATTAATTTGAAAATCCAGTCTAAAGCTCATGTCACTGGACTTCTAGGGCAAACTTATAAGATAATGGTGGTTTCTATAATTTTTTTCAAGAATAAACATCAGTTTCTAACATCAGATTACTAGTGGACATGGTGGTGTGATTTGTAAAGGTAAAAGGCCCAGCCTCTGTTTGGGGGAGATGTGAAAGAGAAAGGTAGATGTGAAAGAGAAAGGTAGATTGAGGGCTAGGTCTTTATTGTGCTTAGGGGAAAGTGTTTTTTTCCTCCCAATTTTTATTTTATTGTGATAAAAATAACACTTAACATGAGATCTAGGTGCTTAACAAATTTTTAAGTGTAGAATACTGTATTGTTGACTAAGGTACAATGTTGTACAGCAGATCTGTAGAGCTTACTCATTTTGGTTTACTGAAACTTTATGCCTATTGATTAGTAACTCCCCATTTCCTTGTTCTGCAATCTCCTGGCAACCACCATCATTCCACTCTTGGCTTCTACAAATCTGATTATTTAAAGTGCTTCATGTAAGTGAGCTCATGCAGCATTTGTCTTTCTGTGACTGGCTTATTTCACCTCAAAGTTTATCCACGTTGTCATACTTAATAGAATTGTCTTCTTTTTGAAGGTATAAATATACCACATTTTCTTTTTCCAATCACCTATTGGTGAACAATTAAGTGTTTTCACATTTTGACTGCTGTGAATAGTGCTGTAATGAACATGGGAGTGCTAATATCTCTTTAATATCCTGATTTAAATTCTTTGGAATAAATATCCAGAAGTGTGATGGCTGGATCATATCATAGCCTTATTGTTAGTTTAGGGGAAAGTTTCTGATTGTAAGGTCTATTAGGGAAAGACATGTACATTTCTTGCCCTTGAGTCTTGCTTAGAAGTCAGTCTGTGTTCTTTTAAGGCTTTACGAAAAAACTGATTTACTACATTGGTAAAGCCATCTTGCTTGGGAGTAGATTGTTGGGGTAGAGGAGACTTGGTTAAATGAGAACTCCACTTTGGAACAATAATATTCTGAATGATAAAAGTTCCTTATTGATGTGATTTCAAAGTTGTACTCATTGACGTCTGATGTAATTTGGATATTTGTCCCCACCCAAATCTCTGCTGAATTGTAATCCTCAATGCTAGAAGCAGGGCCTGGTGGAAGGTGTTTGGATCATGGGGGGTGAATTCCTTATGGCTTGGTACTCTCTTCCTAATAGTGAATTCCCTCAAGATCTGGTAATTTAGGAGTGTGGCACCTACCCCTCCAACTCTCTCACTTGCTCCTCCTTTTGCCATGTGACATGACTGTTCCCCCTTTGCCTTCTACCATGATTGGAAGATTCCTGAGGCCTCTTTAGAAGCCAAGTAGATGCCAGCACCATGCTTCCTGTACAGTCTGTAGAACCATGAGCCAATTAAATCTTTTTAATAAATTATCCATTCTCAGGTATTTATAGCAATGTAAGAACAGCCCAATACAGGCTCTGAATTCCATAACTGCCAAATTTTAATAATCATAATGTGTACTGATTTATGTGCAGAGAGAATTATTGACTCGATTCCAGGGAGGCAGCACATAATTAAATCAACCTTGCCTGTGGGAGATGAGCAGACACCTGAAACAGGTTACAAAGTAAGGAAAGGGCCAATCAACCGGGGACCCTTGTGAATGGGCCCAACCAATGAACTCTAGTAATGATGTTGAATAACCAATTCCAGGTTTCCCATTTCTGCACTATAATTCTCTCATGTTATCCTCAGGGCTTGGTAAAGTTTACTATGCACCATAATCATCCTAGTGATGTCTTTGCTTTGGACAGTAAAGTAAAATTGCTGAGAACAATCCCAGGAGGACGTGGACCAGAGAGAACTGTAGCAGGCTCAAGAAGCTTTGGAAGACAGCAGAAGTCTCTCTTTGGAAGAGAGCAGAGAGACCAGAGCAGCAGACGAGAGGTGATGGGCAGCACCCAGGATAGATTAATAGAATCTGAGGGTTGTCAGAAACACTCTGTATGGGTAATACTAAAAAATATGGCACATCCTGAGGTATAAAAGTTACAACTATATTTATTGAGGTTTTATGCCAAAATAACCCCTCAAGTTGAAAAAACCTACAGTTTTTAGATAATCCATTGATTCAGAATATATGTAACAAAAAAGCATTTTTGTGAATTAAATACTTTAAATAAATTATTTTTTATAAAATAATCTATGTACATTTAGATAATGGTAGCATTAATGTGACAGTATTTAGACACAGACACATGGCTTTGTGGACTCCTCTAATAATTCTATAGAATCCTAGGAGACCAGGACCCCCATGTTGGCAAACATTCAATTGTATCATAAATCATGGCCCTACTGGCCAGCCGCCTGACAAAACTGTGTCTTGTAACAAGTATAATTTTACTCTCTAACTCATAAGCCTTCCTCCACCTATCTGTAACTCCCCACTTCTTCCATTTAGAATTATAGACTATTCGAGCTAAAAAAAAAAAAGTTAGTGTTTATCTAATCTATTTCTCTGAGGTGGTTCATAGATATTGAAAGGCTAGATAACTGTGATTGTCTACATGCAGTAGACAATCCCAGAGGGCCACAGCAGTATAACTGGAAAATAGGATGTAGAAATTTCTCACGCTAGACTCCATCCCACAGTTCAATCAGTTGTTCAGTCCTGAGTTCTGGAACGAATATTGAGCACTGATAGCACATCACCACTTGAGGGCTGTAGGCTGACACATTAGCGCATGCTTTCTTAAGCCATATCCAAGCCTCATTAGTTACATGGTGCACAGTCACATGGTAGAAAATCATTCTTGAGGGAACAATTAAATATCACTCCTAAAATTCTAAATCATTTTCAATGTGGCTGGGATGGAAAAGCATCATTTAATTAGCAAGTGCAATAAAGCTGTGACATTTAAAGTAAATTATGACATATTTTTCTCTTTCCTTGGTACACTGAATGGTGACATATTGATCTTTATAGTTGCCATTTCCAAGTTTTGTTTTTTCTTAATTGGTTAATCCAAAAAATGTCAATTAGGTAATTACCCCTCTGCTGTTTGAATCATCTTCATTTATTGAGCAAAAGAAAATTGACTTCAGAAGGAGAAATGCAATTACAATATAATACCAGGGGAAATGTTATATCATTGGAGTATAATAAAACAATATTGTATATGAGCAAAACTCAGTTTATTTTATAGGTGTAAAAGAAATGTCCTTTTTCTGAATTCTAAAAAGTAATTTACCAAATGATCAAATATAAATTAGCTAATCCAAAGTCATTTTTATTCACTTATGAATGTATTAATTCATTTGAAAAATATCTGTTGAGTGCCAATTATATGCCTGCCCAAACAGTTTTATAATTGTTTTAAAGAACTCCAATGGATGAGAAAAAACATTATAAAAACTATTAACACAAATCCATATATAATTCCAAAATGTGGTAAGTCTTAGATAAAAAAAAAATTACAAGGTTTTATGTGAATGTGTCAGGACCTGGCTCATTGATAGTATGAACTGAGATATAAAGGAAGAAATGTAGTTAACTGGTATTGAGGTAGGAAAAGAGTATTTCATGCAGGAGAGACGAGCACATTTTAGGAACTGAAGGAAGGTCAGTGTGGCCACAGCAAAGGGAAGAAGGGAAAGATAGACACAAGATGAAGTCGGTCAGTTAGTAGGGGCCACAACATTTAGACATATTAAGAATTTATTCTATCCTAATAGTAACAGGAGGTCATTGAAGGATTTTAAGTAATAGTATGACAATCAAAACTGAATTTTAAAAAGTTCGTTTTGGCTACAGCAAACGGAATAGATTGGAAAAGAGGAAAAGTTGGTTCAAGAGATGAGTTAGGAGGCAATTGCAGTATTTCAACTGAGGGATGGTGGTAACTCAGACATGTTGGAGCTCAGTAAGCAATACCTCAAAGTGAAAACTTCAGAAGCAGCCTCAGAAGCAAAAGTTTTTCTTTGATCTTGGCCTGCCTTCCTGTCTGGCAGTCCCATTCTCCCCTGAGGCTTGTCATAAAAACTAGAATCCCTCTTCCCCAAGGCAGGTCGCAGAAATCAGAATCCCTCTTTTCCCAAAGCCCACCATGAAACCTAAAAATATGACTCTAATCTTCCCTCTCCCTTTCTGTCTAAAAACTGGCCATAAAGAAATTATCTAACTCATTCAACCATAGGTCTGAAGAACCCCTCCATTTCAGAGAGGGTCCTCCCCCAAATCCAGAAGGAAAGAATCCATGCTTAGAGAAGCCCAGAAGAATCTAGACCGACAGACCTTGCTGGGTTTCCCCAGTCAGACTATTAGCATGAGATAATATCAATTTTGTCTAATCATATTTCTATATGGCAATCCATACTTTTTTGAACCTAAGCGTAAAAATGGAAAATTGCCCCTGTATTTTGGGGTCTTCATTCTGAAGGCTCCTATGTATTCATGTTAAATAGATTTGTATGCCTTTTCTCCAATTAATCAGCCTTTGTGAATTGATTTTTCAGCAAACCTTCTATAGAAAGTAGAGTTTATGTGTTCTATTTAACAATCCATAAAGTCCCAAGTTATTTGTGTTCTACAATTGACCTATTTTTACAGAATTATATGTGTCAAAGGAAAAAAGAAAGCAGAGTGCTATAATAGAAGGTACATGTGGTTTGGTTTAGAATCTGTTCTGAACTTTTGGCTCCTCTACCTATTATCTAAGGGACCTTATACAAGGCACTTAAGCTCTCGAAGCCTCAGCTTCCACTTCTTTGGAGTTCACAAAAGAATACCTCTCACAACTGAGATGATGAAGTGTGACAATGTACGTGATTCTCTCAGCATGTGGAAGGCCAGTTAATATTGAAGAGCCCCAGGACAAATCAGCTGATCTCATCACCGTGGCTTAGAAATATCACCTTCCTTTTGAAACCTGTTCCTCCTCCTGGATTTTCCTGCAAGTGAACACCACTGTACATCCACCCCAGAAACCCAGGAGGCATCCTTTTCCCTCACCCTCCATGATCAAGTCATATAAACTCTAGTCTCTAAATAGGTTTTAAATCTGTGGATGGACTGCTTTTCTCATCCTCTTTCACTACCCAAGATCACCAGCCTCTCTAGCTTAGATGGTCCTCTTCACTGAGTTTCCTGCCTCGGTTTTTGCCCTCTCATCCATTCTTGACAACAGCCCAGCAAATCTTACCATCTCAGCTCTTCAGCCATCCCCTTACATCAGGAAAAGCTCACCCAATTTCTTAACATGACCTTTAACACACTTCACAAAATACACTCTGCTTACTTCCCAGGCTTCTCTCTTGCTGCTCCTCTGCTCCCCTCCAGTCCAGCAGTTGAAATAAACTACCCTCCATTCAGGACTTATAACTCTCAGACATACTCCCTTTCACCTCCAAACACAGGTCACTGCACGTTTGTGCTTCCTCCTGGCTGAAGTGCTCTTCCTCCAAGGCTTCTCTTCACTTGGGCAACAACTACTCAAAACTGAAGTTTTGGCACACATAACACCTTGTTTGGGATGCACTTTTTTTTCACTTGATGGTATCCCAAGTATGTAGGATTGCCTGTAGCCACAGAAGTCTGACTGGATTGCTGAGAGTCACACAAGTTGGAGGCAGTGGTGTGAGAAGACACAGGCCTCCCGCCACGTGTTGCAGTGTCCCTCTTCCTCCATCATGCTGACACCAGCCTTATTTATCTGCATTGCATTTGCTCTCTTTATTAAGACTTAGATACACTATTTTCATGTGGTTTCAAAATGTTGTACATTTATATTGTGGGTTATGGTTTTGCACCTAAAACAGACCAATGTCACCTCCTCTCCAAAGACTTCTTTGACTCTCCTAGTAAGTGGAAGTCATGGCTTCTGTGCTCCTGTGGCACTTGCAAACATTCCTGCAACAATTTTCATACTTATCTCATTTCTCATGATGTTGTGAATGCTTTTGAAACTAGGACTATACTGGATTCATTTTACATCTCTGGTACCCAGGACTGCTCTTCGGACAGAGAAGCACTGAGTATTTGTTGAACTTAATTGCACTCCAGAGCTGAAAAATGTCCAAATTAGGGCAAGTAAAGATGTGCCACAAAAAAACAAAACAAAACAAAACAGAAAGATGCAACTATTAAAAAAAAGAAACAAACTAAGATGATGGCTCTGCCTTCTGGAGATACAGAATTTAAGAAAAGGCCTGGCTCTGGCTAACATAAAGACCAAGAAGGCAATAGAGAAAATGGTGCAACTATAGGAACAGAAGTCCTGTCCAGGTGAGTATGAGCAATCCCTCAGTGGCCCTCCTGCCTCTTTTCATTCAGGACAGAGAACTGGAATTGGGAAGGAAGATGCTCTCACTTTCATAGAGCTGGACAGTTAAGAGCACTTTCTATGCCTGCTCTGGAAGCCTGAAGTCAGCACTAGAAAAGCTGGTTTTGCTCATGCCTGTAATCCCAGCACTTTGGGAGGCCGAGGTGAGCAGATTATGAGGTCAGTAGATCGAGACCACCCTGGCTAACACGGTGAAACCCCGTCTCTACAAAAAATTAGCCGGGCATGGTGGTGGGTGCCTGTAGTCCCAGCTACTAGGGAGGCAGAGGCAGGAGAATGGCATGAACCCAGGAGGCAGAGCTTGCAGTGAGCCGAGATCTCGCCACTGCACTCCAGCCTGGGCGACAGAGCGAGACTCCATTTCAAACAAAAAAAGAAAGAGGAAAGAAAGAAAGAAAGGAAGGAAGGAAGGAAGGAAGGAAGGAAGGAAGGAAGGAAGGAAGGAAGAAAAGAAAGCTGGTTTCACAAGTTGCATAGGTTCCTAAAATGGCAGAATTAGAGTCATTCAATTGTGACAGAAATGAAACTAAGCTTGGGGCAAGAATCCAACTGTTAGTCCTGGTCTTCTCCGGGGGCCTTGGGGCAAATCTCTGAGTTTAATTCCCTCCTCTGCAAAATAAGGGGTTTGAACTAGATCATCTCCAACAGTCTTCTCTGGTTCAGGAAATCTGAAATTTATGGGCTTGACATATGGATTTACTTAAAGCAGCTACATAGCCAAGGGTGAGAAGACAGTCAATCTCAATGTATGCACTGCAGACAATCCAAACTCATCATTTTCATTCTTTACTTGATCTGCACTAGCAGAAGCACACAAGTCTGACTACAACCCCTCATCCATATATGGTAAGCAGCACAGCCAAAACTTTCTTCAACCAAAAGTTAGCGATGCAGTGAGGCTGTAAAGCAGGAATTTTCAAAGTATTATAATCAATGAGGCAGTTTTAAAAAAAACAAAAAACAAATAAACAAAAAAAACAAGTTCCAAGGCCTTGCTTCAGCCCTGCTGCTAAATCAGGAGCTCCAAGATAGAGCCCTAGAAATGTGTATTTTTTACAAAGCTCCCCTTCGATTTTGATTTGGGGATCATTTTTAAAGGAAAATTTGTATTTCTCAAAGACTAGCTTATGAATTACTTTCATAAGAGTTACCTAAGATACTTGTTAATAGTTGGAAGTGTGGCCAAGAATCTGCATTATAGCAATTCTTCCAGTGACTTTACAAATACCAATATCATCCATAACATAGCATATATATGCTTACAAATGAAATCTTTACAAGGACAAAACCTCAAGATCTATAAAACAATGTAGTAAAGACAGGAAATCACGGGTACAGTATAGGTTAATGTCATTGTTAATATTTACAAACTGAAGTGTTAGGAAGTTCAGGCAACTTACCTGGAATCACAAGATTAATAAATGTATGCAATGAAACTGAAAACTAATGCCACAAAGCTATGAAACAGCCTATATTGCCGCAAAATGTGTAATTAAACATTTAATGCACCTTTTCATTAAACAATTGCTGAGGTCTTATCTGATGAAGCAAGATAGAAATATATCTCAGTTCCTGTTGGTCAGTTTTATTAGCTACTACACAAATGTTAATGTCATATAATAATAATAGTTAACCAAGATAAAGTGACTGTTAACTACTAAGCAGCAATGTTTCAGTGATATCCTGGAATCATAAAATGATCTAGGGTAGTCATCATTTTAGTCAACCCTCAAACACAAATATTTATAGTTGAGAACCCCAGAATTATGCTGTCCAAGGTCTCACACAGCTATTGAAGAGCCCACTCAGCTCCAGACTTTAGTTGCATGACTTTGCTTTACTGATCTTCTTTACACTTGGGCCATGGGCTGGGTACCAATCCATGGCCTGTTAGGAACTGGGCCACACAGCGGGAGGTGAGCAACAGGTGAGCAAGCAAAGCTTCATCTGTATTTACAGCCACTCCACATCACTCACATTACCACTTGAGCTCTGCCTCCTGTCAGATCAGTGGCAGCATTAGATTCCCATAGGAGCATAAGCCCTACTGTGAACTGTGTATGTGAGGGATCTAGGTTGTATGCTCCTTATGAGAATCTAATGCCTGATGATCTGTCACTGTTTCCCATCACCCCAGATAGGACCATCTAGTTGCAGGAAAACAAGCTCAGCGCTCCCATTGATTCTACATTGTGATGAATTGTATAATTATTTCATTATATATTACAATGTAATAATAATATAAATAACATGTGCAATAAATGTAATGTGATTGAATCATCCCAAAACCGTCCCTTATCCCCTCCAACCCCAAGTCTGTGGAAAAATTGTCTTCCATGAAACCAGTCCCTGGTGCCAAAAATGGTCAGGGACTGCTGCTTTACACCATCAACTCTGTGTTCTTAAATTCAATATGCTGATTATTTGCTTTAGTGCTATAATAAAACTTCATTAGACATGATTTTTTTTCAGGGAAAAAAACATAATTTTTTTTCACTTACAGTTTCTTCTAAATTTATCTAATAAAATATTTGTTTGTGAAAATGTGTGCTTGTCTTGAACTCTGGTAAATTAAAATAGAAAAAGTCTCCTAGATTCCTCATTCGTGAGTTGATCAGTTTTGGGTATAGGACAATAATAGGCCTTTCAGAACTATGATGAAACTGCATGGACCTTAGTATTATGAGACCTAGTTTTGATTTTTAAAAAAAATTCACCAAAAGTGGTCATAGAAAAGCCATATTAACTTTTAACAGAATACTATTTCTTCCCTTTCCTGTGGACCTCTTTTTCTCTTCCTTCTCATTGATGTGACAAACTCTCTAAAATATGTAGACACACATGTATCTTCACAAAAGGAAAAACGATAATGAAAAAGACATCATCAAAGAGAAATGTCCAAAGAATAAACCAAATATTTATGAGCTATAGATAGACTTGGTGAAGGTTTTCTAATTGAGGCTTTGGTTTATTTATTTTGTTGTTTGAGGAGTGGTAGATTTTTGCATATGTATTACTCTCATTCAAATTTTGCATGCCACTTCAGACTAAATATCCATTTCCTGTCAAGTGTTTTATGGTAGGAACCATTTCTTTCACAAAATCAACATATAATTTCCTAAATAAAGAAGAAAAGGATACTTACAAATCTCTGATTAAAATATGTTGTTATTTCTGAGACAGGTTTAAAAAATTCTGATAAACTTTCTTTCCTGCAAATTAAAAAAAAAAACTATGAAGAACCAGAAAAGGTGGCAATCCAGTTAATCAAATTTTAATTACTTTTGGCTTTTTAAAATATTTAGCTAAAACTGGTAAACATCATGACTTGCCTGACTTTCTCGGGAAAAGCCGAACCTCTAATTCAAACATAAAATTTTCTATTAAAAGTCAAAAGGATCTTATTTCAAATAACAGTTATTAGTTCCCAAGATTATCAGCTACAAAATCCAGTGGATGATTGCTGCATTGATGCTGTTAAGGATCATTGCCAGGTTGAGAAATCATCGTGTAAAAACAACTGATCATTACAGGAAATATTTGTAGCCACATAAAAATGATTGTAGGACAATATTTGGCATGATACCACCTTTGGAAGTTTGTAGAAACACACCAGACTTTGAGAATATAATTGTAGAGAATCTTCTGCACCCTCCATAAGTATTCTAAGGCATTGTACCAATATTACCAGTACCCACATAAGGATCATGTCAAAGGAATCGAACCATCTTGCTCTTGGAAATCAAAGTAAACTACCTATATATTATTCCTATTCACAGAATGGGCCTTATATTTCAGGACTTAGCATCTGGCATAAGAAGGGTGAAAAATAATGGGAGTATGAACCGTCGGTATGCACATTAGCCACTCATAGCAATAAGGCACTTTGCAAATTCCCTTCACCACACTCTCACTGCCTTAGTTCAACCTACCATTCACTCTTCCTGGACTGTGGCAACAACGTCCTAATGATTTTCTTGTATGCATTCTTGCTTCCTGCAAATCCATTCTTTACACAGGTGTCAGGTAGAATTATTTCAAAGTAAATATAGTCATGATCATTCTACAATTAACCCTTATTAGTTTGCCTATCACCTACAATATCAAGCCCAAATCCCTTCACGTGGTACATGGTGCCCTCCAAGAACTAGCCCCACTCCACTTTTCCTTCCTTTTCACCCATGCCCAACCTCCACCAATCCTAAAACTCTGCAGTCACACTCCACCAGTAGAATCCTGTGCTTTATTTCTGTCACCCCTGTGGCTGAGTTTCTTTGCCCTCCATCTCTTCCCCATCTCCTTGCTAGTATATCTTCTTCATCTCTTCTGGGTCAACTTGGGCAACCCTTTCCAGAGCCTTCTATGTCTTCCTTAGTCTAGGCAGGTTCCTTCCTATGTGCTCTAAAACACTCTGGTATAGATCTGTCTTTGTGCTTATCACAGGCATTACACATTTCAGTTTAGTGTCTGCTTTTCTGCTGCAAACACATTTTTTTAAGCCTTTTGAGGGCATGGACTGTGACTCATTTGTCTTGTTCCCAGCACAGTGTTTCACAGATGGTAGGAGGAGTGCAATAAATACCTGTTGAATGTCAAGGTGCATTAGGTGTTTTTCAGACTTGGAGCTGCCTGAATGCGTATTTTACCACCTTGGAAGAATTTTAAAATTAAAAGCAGACATCATTTTAACCTTGTTCCCATACTCAGTTTCTCAAATGATCTTTGCTCTTCCTCTCACTCTTTGTCTGGGACTTTTTCCTTCAATGAGTCCTATATGTCCAGACCAAATAAAAGGAACTGAGAAGAGGAAGTGAGAAATAAATGAAGAAATGATGATACAGTAAGTAGCAAAAAGATAAAAATTTGTAAACTTCAAAACTTATATAATGTAATGTAAATATACACACCTAAAAGACATGATTAAGAAAACAAAATTTTGTAGTCTTAATATTTTCAACCATTTGGATGCAGCTCTTGGCAAAGATCTAGTAGAAACTATAAATAAGAATCTAGTTTAAAGTCTGTTAGATAAAAGTAAACATTGCTATTTGCATTTTAAAAATGCATGTTTAAAATATCCCTATAATTTTATAACCTTTCCATGATTAATTTTTTTTACAGAAATCCACCTATCCTTGTCTATTGCAACACAACCAAAATAAAAAAAAATGAGTGAAATAGTTATGTTTTTCCCTCTCCACTTCTTTCCAGTTTATTTTACAAACAAATATACCTATGTGGTGGACTTTGAAAATATTTCATCCATGTTTTTTATTACTAATGTACATAAAAATTCAGATTTAATGAAGATATGCTTAACACAAAAATACTAAAGGTTGAGACTGTGAGAGTCTCTACTCATCCTTTAAAATATCACTTATCAAATATTTTACTAATGAAAGTGCAGTAATTCTTGGGAAGATTTCAAGAACAGTAGCACGCCCCTAACAAATATAAAAATAATTTTTGTGTGTACATATCTCCTATATATGAATATTTATACTATAAATTATAAGTATTACTATCCTAATAGTCTAATATAACTTATTTGCTATATTATTATTATATATGTTAAATACATTAACAGACATTAAAAATAAAATATAAATAGATATAATTAGATGTTCTAATATTTTTTCATGATCCTCAGTGTACGATGCAGAATTTGCATGTTTCTACCACACGAGGTCTGATTCTTTCTCCATTCTCTCTCCTGAAACTACAACTAAATCAAGAGAAAACTTGGTGATATACATGGAAGCTAAGACATATCAACAGCCAAAAAGCCAGTGGACTCATCAAGGTGTATTGATACCCTTTACAAAGGGAACAGATCAAAGTATGGGTGAATCAGCAGAAATTTATCACAGTAGAAACACATGCACATTCAGAATTAGCAGAGATGTTGAATGTCATTTAGTTCAATCATTTTCAAACTATTGTTTTTAGATGAGGAATATTTTCTTTTTAAATGAACCCCTTAGCAGAAGGCCTACACTCAAGATGGATGCAAGCAGAACTGCTCTGGGTACCTCGGGCTTCAAGGTCTGATGCTCTACTCACTCCCTTCCCTACTCTTCTCCTCCTTCTCAGGGAAAACTACATGTCTACACTGCCACTTTAGAGATGAGGCTACCAGGCTGGAGATGGAACAAGAGCAGCCTTTTCAAGAAAGATATAATAATGTAGCTAAAAATATTCATCTTGGTGCTTGTCCATCCTCCTTTTTGATGGACAATCAGTATTTGCTTGCAGGAACTGATTTCTCTGCATGTCCCAAGCTGACCTCAGTTGTAAATATAAATACTTAAACCATTAACTAACAGGAATTAAGGTAATTTTTGGTACTAGGGTTTGGTAAAACAATAAATACTTATTTTTTCTTCCAAATATATATTTTCTAACTTGAGTTTTAATTACTCAAGCAGCCAGCCATGTTAACATGCAAATAACATGCATAAAGGAGAAGAATCTATCAGGTCTGAAGCACAAAATTTCAGGGGGTGCCCAAAAGCTCAGAAATCAAGATAAATAACATGTAAATGCCATACACTGTAAAAATAGAAATTTATGCAAAGATCTATGATGAACAAAATATCAAAGTTTTAAATACAGATTTAACCCTGAACTTGTATAAGTCAGCCTCATGTATCTCACCTGGTTCAGTGACTTCTCTGAAAAATGAATTGTAAACATAAAAATCATGTCAGGTTAGTTACATTATGCAAATTTCTGCCTCAAAACACCAAGGACTGTAGAAGGAGAAGGAAATGTAGTTTGGAGGACAAAGTTCAGTCAAAGGCATGTTCCGGTAAAGGCTTTTACACTTCAGTCTGTAAGACTGGGGATCAGGTGAGGTTGCTTGGGAACAAATAAGCAACTAGACAACTGTAACACGAGATAAGACCTAACCTATGCTTTCATTTGAACTATTTTACAATGTCAATGAGCTACTAAATCTAGTTATAGATACTTCAATAAGTATTTTTTTTTTTTTTTGAGACAGAGTCTTTCTCTGTCACCAGGCTGGAGTGCAGTGGCGCAATTTTGGCTCACTGCAACCTCCGCCTCCTGGGTTCAAGCCATTCTCCTGCCTCAGCCTCCCAAGTAGCTGGGATTACAGGTGCCCACCACCACACCCAGCTAATTTTTGTATTTTTAGTAGAGACAGGGTTTCACCATGTTGGCCAGGATGGTCTCTATCTCCTGACCTCGTGATCCGCCCACCTCGGCCTCCCAAAGTGCTGGGATTACAGGCGTGAGCCACCGCGCCTGGCCTCTTCAATAAGTATTCTTTTAAATTTTTGTTTTGTTTTTAAAAGCAAGGCATAGTTCTAAAATACATAAAACCCTGAAAGTTAAAATGTATCCACTGAACATCATCTGACTATGTGAAGCAAGTTAACCACTTCAACTGTAAGACCTAGTTTTAAAAGTCTACTCTTAAGAGGATGCATTTAACCTCTCAAGCACTACAATGGTGAACACAATCATCACAGAGATGAATCATGGTGACATTGAAAATGATGTGCATTCATGAGGATGTTTTCTGTCCACCAACTCAAATGAACTAGCTTAGGAGAATGAATGACTCTGCCTGACACATAGTAAGTACTCAACATACATATACTAAATGAATAAATTAATGAAATAATAAAAGTTGAAAGATGGCTGGCAACAGGTATACTAGGACCAGATTATAAAGAATATTGAAACAGAGACTTCATGCTGTGGGCCACTGAGCAAAGGTCTGATGAGGTTTAACAACAACAACAACAACAACAACAACAAAAACATGTGATTCCTTATAAGAAAGAATGGGTGATGGGTGGATTGGTAGTAAGCAAATAGCAAATCCAGCAAAAGTTTTTAGAAATAGCCTTGGCAATGGGCAATAAGGGCCCACCAAAGGGTGCAGACTATAAAACTGGAGGAAGACGAGTGTAGGGAATACTGCTGGCTGGCTGCTATTTGCTCCTCTCCCCCTTTCTATAGAAATAGAAAGTTTAGCTGGGTACACAGCCACAGATAGTATTACCAAGCTTTCCATGCTGCTAGGTCATGCAACTGGATTTCTTCATTAAATATGGCTAGGTGCAGAAGTGATATACTCCACTTCCAGGTTACATACTGAAAGAGAAGGGAATGTGGTCTCTCATTCCTCTTTTGCCCTTTCTGAAAACTGGACTGCATCTGTTGCTGCGAGTCATGCTTCATGAGGTGGACAAACACAATACCTTGGAGATGACAAAGCAACTAGATAGAAGGGGCCTGCATCCCTAACCTGGTTAAGCCACTATACCAGCCCTATAGCACCTGCCTGGATTGCACATAAGATAGAACTAAACTTACATTGCGTTTCATCCACTGTCATTTTTGGATTTTGCAATAACTGCCAAACTGATGTCGGAAACTAATATATATGGACATAAAAAGAATTTACAAAATGGAAAAATCCATGGAATGTGGTGATAGGCTACACCGAATGAGGGAGAATGATGAACTCAAACAATTTCAAGGTTTTATGCCCAGGGAACTAGGACAATACTGGAACCACCAACAAAATAACAGGTGAGAGGGAGATGGGTGGAGTTCAGATGGTGGAAAACAGCCAAGGCGGGAGCTGAAAGTATGGGCCTGGAACTCAGACAAAAGGAAAAATTTGAAAATAGAAATGTCAGCAATTTTGTATAGTATATACAGATGAAAATGTGAAAATTAATAGAATCTAAGACTAAGATCAGAGAATGCCAAAAGCTGAATGATGGGGTATTCTCACAAAAGGCAGAAGAGAGCAGCAGTAATCAGCAAAGGTTAAAAAAAAAAGAATGTTATTATCCTACATAGGAAAGGGTTAATGATTAAAACCATGGAATAATAGAATTAACCTTGATTCAAGCTGACAAACAAATTTAAAGGGAATCTAATGTGGGCTAAATGTCTTAAATCCATTTAAAGCTCCCAAAAAAAACTGAAGCAATCATTTCTTGAAATAGAAAGGCATTAATTACAGTTCTGAACAAGCCAGATCTCAATAATTTCTTTAGTTTAAATTTCCAGAATTCCAAGAGAAAAAAAAACACCCAACAGATACCTATGACATTCTGTCCTTTTTAAATTCTCACAATAGAGGAAGAAAAGAGGTGACAAGAATGAAGGGAAAATGAAGCATAAGTGCCTTTCTACTCACATATTCTTTCTAGGAGGCTGATTGTTTTTGTTTTGTTTTGTTTTTTTAATAGGAATGGGGTCTCAATATATTTTCCAGGCTGGTCTCAAACTCTTGGCCTTAAGCAATCCTCCCACCTTAGTCTCCTAAAGTTTTGGGATAACAGGAGTGAGCCAACGCACCCAGCCAGGGGCTGATGTCTGTAAGTAGAAATGGCAAATTGAAACAAATCCTCCTCCTCAATTTTTATTGTTTCATTGGAAGATATGGTGATTTAAATTTCACATTAAGCTTTGAAGTTAATAAAGTTGGCAACATAGAAGCCAACTGTTATATATAAGAAGAAAGAGTTTGGGAGTCTGTATCACTTGTGAGATGTGCTAATATTCCTGGAAGGTCATCAGCATTCCAGAACATTCAGGCAATGTTATACTAGGCCCTCCAACGGTTCTTCTTCCCCACCTGGCTTGGTTGATCCAACCAGGAGGACATTTTTTAGGGAGAAGTCAGACCGAAGATTTCTGTTTTGTATTCCACTGTCCACTTCATATTGACAAAACACACCATTTTAGCTTTTTCTCTGAAGATTGTTTTCTCTCTAGTTTTAGTCTGCAGAATGTGTAGTATAGCTGCTTAAGGGACATCAGGAAAGACTCCATTTTTCTTTACCAGAACATTTTCATAAAAGTCGATCATACTAATTCACTTAGTATGAGAAATTGATATCCCTCTCTCTTCCTTTGAAGAGAAATCGGTTAGGAATCTCCTTTTTCTCTTCACATAGTGACTGCATTATCCACGGTCTTTCCAATTGTTTGGAAGACAGTTTCACTGTTGTTTTTAGTGTTATCCTTGAATCCTATATACAGTATTCTTTTAAACTCTTAATACTGGTACACATTTTGGGATTCTAAACCCTGTCATTTTTTTACTTAATGACCAGACAATACTTTTCACTTCTCCAGGTAGATCAGAGTGTGAAAACCTGCTCTAAAATGACCTTTCCTTTACATATGGTTGCAGAATAGCTGAACAAAGATTGCTGTACACCAAGAAATTAGCTTGAGGGGAAAGAAACCTTCTTTTCTTATTTTGAGTTGGAGTAAGAGAAGAGTGTGTATATGTTAAGTGGGAGCAGGGTAGAGGGTGGGGGTTGCATTTCATGACACAGCATTCGACACACAAAATTGCCATTGCTTCACTCCTGTCTGTCTGTATATCTTTTCAGGTGTGGCCTGTGTGGTTCTAGAATTCCTGGCATTTAAATATAACCTGAAAGCCACTCAGATCAATCTGGAAAGAGCTTCTCTTTACTTTTTTACCATGTGCCACATAAAAACCACAGCACCAAAACAGCAGATTCACATTTTTTTTGTAAACTATTCAGTGCTTCTTAATGTTTGCTTGCAAAGCCTCAATAAAAGAAGTAACTTTTAATTTTTTTCCATAACTATTAAACTTCTTAGCTTATATTACTTTCTTACCTATATTATAATCCTCAAACACCAACAAAAAAGTTCATAAGCTTTACATTATCTTTCATCTCACTTACAACTTTTATTTTTATTTTCATTTTTATTTTTTTTGAGACAGTCTTGCTTTGTCCCCCAGGCTGGAGTGCAGTGGCGTCATCTCGGCTCACTGCAAGCTCCGCCTCCCGGGTTCATGCCATCCTCCTGCCTCAGCCTCCTGAGTAGCTGGGACTACAGGCGCCCGCCACCACGCCCAGCTAATTTTTTGTATTTTTGGTAGAGACGGGGTTTCACTGTGTTAGCCAGGATGGTCTCGATCTCCTCGGCCTCCCAAAGTGCTGGGATTACAGGCGTGAGCCACGGCGCCTGGCCGACTTACAACATTTTAATAGGTATATCTGAGGTTAAAGAGGAAATTGTTAGGCATCACAGTTAATTTTGATGTTAATTATAAAATAAATTGAAAAAAGTTAAGTCTAACCCCAGTATTGTTACATACATAGACGCATTATTTCCATCTGGCATCTATAAACATTTGTGCTCACAGAAGAAGGCCAATGAAAACTATGTTAAATATAAAAAGGAACATACCAACTCACTGGGAGGAAAGGGAGCAAACAATTGTGGAGTGCCCATGACTTTCTAGATGCATTAAACATTCTCTCACTGAATCCTTTCAAAAGCCATAAAAAAAAAAATATTAGTACCATTGGATGCCTAAGGAAGCTTGAGGTTATAATCGAACCAGTGCCAAGCAAGGTCAAGTCATGAATCCAGGTCTGTCCGCCATATGGACTTAATACTAGTAGTAGTGGTTGACTAAGTCGATTCACAGGAGCAACAAAAAGAAATATACTTTTCAGACTTTGTCTGAAAGTAAAGTTGATGAATTATACTTTAGAGGTCACTTTTGATATATCCCATATTTTTTCAAAATGGTTTCTATAAGATACCCTCTTAGCATTATAGATTAATACCAGATGTTCACTCCCTACCTTGATAAGATCAGTAACCTGCTCAAAGGAGTCTGGTCTGTTTCAAAAAGCACACAGAAATGCGCCCATGAGGGCAGCTCAAGACTACTAAGAGATGTGTTGTCATATTGCGTATCCACCAGAAAGTGACTTGATAGACTCCTAGAGGTGGAAGAGAAGTAAAACAAAAACAAAAACAAAAACAAAAACAAAACACAACTAGCACATATCCCCAGTTTTAAAAAATGTTTTTGAAGTAGATATTATATTTTTGTGCCCTTTTGAGTCAGTCAAGATACTGCTATTAAACGGACATGATTTTGGTTAGCTAAATGAGCCCTTACAAAGCAATAAGCCCTTTGAACTTCAGTTTCTTCTTCTGCATAGGTAACCTGTTGGAAATTTAAGGGCTTTTGCAAGGTTAACCTGTTTGAATCTGGCTGAGAGGCAGTGTCGATGGTGAGTGCACTGGGCAAAGGAAGTCAGATGGTCATAAAGGTTTGGTCATGGAAGGCTAAGGCTGGAAAAGACTAACATTAAAGACAGTATAATGCTATGCACACGAGCTTTGGAGACAGACTGGCTCTAGAACATAATAGCTATATGACTTGGGGAAACTCGGCTCACATTTCCTTATTTGTACTGTGGAAATAAAACTTCCACTTCACAGGATGTTGTGAAGATTAAATGAGACAATGTCCGAAAAGTACTTAGTGTAATTCCTAACACATAGTAAGTGCTTAATAAACAGAAGTTGCTATTATGACTATTCTTTATACCGAAGGAAAAACTGTGCTTTAGAAGGTTAAAAGACTAGCACAAGGTCACAGGCCATTCCTTTACTGAGGTGTCAGGTTAGGGGGTGGAGGATAAACTCAGCTTCATCAAAAAACAATTACCTCTAAATAACCAGTTATATGCATAGGACCAGAAAATATCTATGAAAATTTCAAATGCATTTTCAGTTTTTTTTTCATTAAAAACTGACTTTACAACCAACTTTCTTTTTTCCTTTCCCTAACGTCTGTTTCCTTTCAAAACTAACACTGTGTGAATTCCTGTGTGATTTTGATCTCATTATTTTTTGAGCTGAAGGTCTCTCTCCCGAGTCTACTTTGTCCTAACATTGTCATTGCTATTTCATTCTTCTATATCCTAGAAAAAGCACACACAGCAGAGAAATGCATTAGAAGGATCTTATTCAGAAGAATATTTCTTTGCTAACTATTTAACATGCTGCAGATTTAGATGCTTTTATCTAAATAAGATGCAGATTGTTAGTTTTGAATTTTAGACTAAGAAAATAATTTGAAATAAAATTTTGCAATAAATCCATTTTAAAGGGCCCTTTGAAGAGTGACTCTTAAGCATTATCTGCAAGAACAATCTCTCAAAATAAACTGGCCAAATTAAGGTTTCGTATTTTGCTCAACAATAGACAAAGGTTGAAATGTTCACTTCTGGTTTTCCTACTTATCTTTACTAAGCAATGCAGCCTAACCTTATTTTTTTTGTCATTGCTGTCATTTTGAAACTTTTTTTAACCCAGGTATATGAGTCAACAAGAACAAAAACAAGCTTAATTTTACTAATTCATGATCTTTCTAGAACTGGAGAAGCATTTATATAAGTTCACTGTATTAGGCTGTACAGGCTGTATACTTCATGGCTGCCATTCACTCTAGTCCAAGGAAGACTAATAGCTAAATGTAAACACTGTTGATGTCACTAAAGTCCAAATTTGAATTTTAAAATGTATTAATATTCTTTTTACAAAGGTTTATTTTTCCCTAAAGGGGCGTTTACTAGGCATTCTAAATTCTAAACATTACAATTATATATTTGCCTTTAGAAGATGAATTATTTAGATATGCTTCACTTTAAGGCATTACATTAAATTAAATTTAAAGGCAAGAAGGCTATAAACAAAACAAAAATAAACAACAACAAAAAAAATTGACAAAAATATATTTAATGTCACACCAGGAACAGTGGCTCATATCCGTAATCCCAGCACTTGGGAGGCTGAGGTAGGAGGATTGCTTGAGTCCATCCTGCAACATAGTGAGACTTTACCTCTACAAAAAATAGAAAAATTAGCTGGACATGGTGGCACACACCTGTAGTCCCAGCTACTTGGGAGGATGAAGCAGAAGCATTGCTTGAGCCCAGGAGTTTGAGGTTACAGTGAGCTATGATCACGCATCACTTCTCTCCAGCCTGGTGATAGAGAAAAACCCGTCTCTAAAATAAATAAATAAGTAAATTTAATATTTACATTAAGTGTCAAAATTATCTCCTTCCTTTAATCTGAGAATGACTAGAAGTCTCATGTTTAGGCCAATGACATTCATAACTAGCTGAATTTATACTTCCTATAACAGTACATTGTCCATGTCAGGATTTGTCTGGCTCAGAGAAAAATGGCAGCTGCAGTGCTGAGTCACTAAAACCAATTCTCAATGAAGCAGCTGCTGCTGAAAGCTGGGCTTCAAACATCAATCAATCTCTGACTGTTGCAGCTAGTCTGTGGATTTTGTCAGTTGTTGGTACTTTCACCACATTGCAGTATTACTGTTGTCATATCATACTGCACTAGTTGACATAACATCATCTTGTAGAGACCTTCAATATGAGAATATCCACATCCTCATGAATATGTAAATAAATTTTTTGAAGGAAGTGGTACAAAGAACATATGTTCTAAATGCTAAAATACTAATTTTCAGTAGAATGATTCCACCCACCTCCATATTTCTCTGAGGCATTGGTCTGAAACAATCACACTTCAGCCCCAAAACAAATACAGATATGGTGTTATGGGTTGCATCGTTTCCCCCGAAAATATATTAAACTCCTAACCCCCAGTACATGTGAATATGATGTTATTTGGAAATAAGGTCTTGGCAAATGTAACCAAGTTAAGATGAGGTCACACTGGAGTAGGGCAGTCCCTTGATCCAATATGACTGGTGTCCTTATAAAAGGAGGGAAGACAACGTAAAGACAGACACACAGAGAATGTCCTGTGAAGAAATAGGAGGGACACATCTACCAGCTGAGGGATACCTGGAGCTACCAGAACTGAAAGAGGCAAGAAGGATCCTCCCCTCTAGGCATCAGAGGGAGCATGGCCCTGGCAACACTTTGAGTTTAGGCTTCTGGCCTCCAGAACTATGAGCAAATAAATTTCCTTTGTTTTAAGCCGCCCAGTTTGTGGTACTTTCTTGTGGCAGCCATTTTGGGACATCCACGTAGGGATGATGGTAGACTCTTAGCAGCTCCTGGAGGGCACAGGTATAAACTATGTTAATCCAGGAAACATAGTAATTTAACAGGCTCTTCTTTCAGGTTACATTTTCTCGGATTCATCTTTTTTAAATTAGAGCATCCCTAAATGTGTAGCCAATTCCTAAGATAAGCAAAACCAGGATCAGACTAATAGATCTTAGATTAAAGAATACATTAAAATGGTTTGAAATGAGCCAGGTATTCTAGAATAGCTTGTGTTTCTAGTGCTTTTAGGTGTCATCTCATGATCTGTGGGTATTAACAGATATCAAGCTATCACCACAATTACCCATGCCCAGAAGTTTCAACACACTGAAAAGAACAGAGATGTAACAGAATCACCAGAGTCCAATTTCCATGAAGTTTTTCAAAGCAAGGAAACGAAGAAGAAATAATACAATCAGGATAAGGGAAACAACAGAAATAGACCTAAGGAATTGAGCCACTAAACTAAACCTACATAATTTATTGCTCAAGCTTCTCTCTTGGAAGGCAGACAAACAGCAGCTAGAATCAGACACCCCTGAGTCTTGCTAGCTCCGCTACTGACTAGCTCTGTGTCTTTGGACAAGTTATATACCCTCTCTAAACTTCAGTTTACTCATTAGTAAAGTGACAGTAATAATTTTACCAACCTCATAAGGGAAGCTTTCAGTAGTTGTTAGAAATGTTATTACTAAATTCAGTGTTAGCTTAAGTTGCAACCTCACTCATGGAAAAGATATTACTCCATGCCTCATCTTTATGTTTTTAAATCAGAAAGAGGCCGAGCACGGTGGCTGATGCCTGTAATCCCAGCACTTTGGGAGGCCAAAGCAAGTGGATCGCCTGATGTCAGGAGTTCGAGACCAGCCTGTCCAACATGGGGAAACCCTGTCTCTACTAAAAATACAAAAAAAAAATAGCTGGGCACGGTGGTGCATGCCTATAATCGCAGCTACTTGGGAGGCTGAGACAGAAGAATTGCTTGAACCCGGGAGGCGGAGGTTGCAGTGAGCCCAGATTGTGCCATTGCACTCCAGCCTGGACAACAAGAATGAATCTCCAAAAAAAAAAAAAAAAAAAAAAAAAAAAAGGAGACAAGGAAAGAAAGAAGGAGAGAGAAAGAGACCTTGGTTTAGGCAATCATTTCTTAGATATGACACCAAAGCACAAGTGACAAAAAAAATTGATAAATTGAACTTCATCAAAATAAAAAGCCTTTGTGCACCAAATGACACCATCAAAAGTGAAAGACTACCTAAAGAATTGGAAAAAAACACTTGCCAATCATATGTCTGATAAGAGATTTGTAAGTTAAGTATATATAGAACTACAACTAAATAATAAAAAGATAAATAACCCAATTTAGAATATGGCCAGTGAACATGAATAGACATTTCTACAAAGAAGGTATGTAAATGGCCAATAAGCACATTAAATGATACAGAGCATCATTATCCCCTATTAGGGAACTGCAAGTTAAAACCATGTTGAAATACCACTTTACACTCACTATGATGACTATAATAAAAAAAGACAATGACAAGTGTTGAGAAGGATATAAAGAAATGGAAGGCTTCGTCACTGCTGGCTGAAATGTAAAATGGTGCAGTCTCTTTGGAAAATAGCCTAGCATTTCCTCAAACTGTTAAACATAGAGTTACCATATGATCCAGCCATTCCACTCCTAGATATATAACCAAAAGTAATGAAAGCATATGTCCACAGAGAACTTCTACAGGAATATTCATAGCAATGTTACTCATAATAGCCAAAAAGTGGAAAAAACACAAATGTCCATCATCACTGATAAATGTGTAAATAAAATGTAGTATATTCTTACAATGTAATATTACTTGTCAATAAAAAGGAATGAAGGATTGATACATGCCACAACATTGATGATCCTGGAAAACATTATGCTAAATGAGAGGAACCACATGTTGTATGATTCAATTTATATAAAATGTCCAAAATATGCAAATTTACAAAACAAGAAAAATTTGTGGTGGCCTAAGGATGGAGAGGGAGTCCCTAGGCTTTGGGGGAAATAGGGAGTCAC
Source organism: Homo sapiens (assembly GCF_000001405.40). Lineage (NCBI taxonomy): Eukaryota > Metazoa > Chordata > Mammalia > Primates > Hominidae > Homo > Homo sapiens. The sequence goes on along the minus strand of NC_000006.12, from coordinate 122,661,339 downwards.
AACTAATGTTTATAGGGTTTCTCTCTGGGGTGATGAAAATGACCTAAAATGGATTGTGGTGACATGACAGTGCGTGAATATACTAGAAACTATTTAAATGGGTGGCTTTTATGGTAGCAAATTATGTCAATAAAGTTTTTTTTAAGTTAAATAAATTGACTCAGAGGATGTTAGTGCTGGGTGTGAATCTCTGAGGGAGGATTACGGTGTGCGATATGCCAATCATCTTTATCCATATAATTTATTCTTGTAGCATTTTGATGAACACATTGATTACAGATCCCAAATTGAGGTTATTTTATTTTTTCAAATGTAGAACTAGGATGCCAGCTTGTTATATTTAACAAATCATGTATATTTTCTACCTTTTGATTATTCTTCTAAAACACTAAAAAAGTCTAAGTATAAATATTTAATCTATAAATGTAAGTGTCTTATACATAAAAGGTTTATTAAATGAGTGGGTCTTGAGATGAATGGTAATATTTATTGCAGAGATATATCAATCAGTGGGTTTTCTCTCTCATTTACAATCCTGTTGCAAGTATGTTATCTTGAAGAAATCACACATTTCCATATGGGAACATTTTCCTTTGGTTGCTTAATAATAAACATGATCATTTTAGCTTAATCCTTTAGGCTATAGAATTGCAAAGGTTGGGGGAACTACCTCCTTGTATTCTAATCAAAAATTTGTACTTAATGAAACAGAAACTTTTTAGTGTAAGTAGCCATGTGCTTATTTAATTCCAAGATATCCATGCCCTGTAAACTTTCCAGTGATTACAATTGTAAACATATACAAAGCCTTCTCAGCCCTGAGATCCAAGCATGGAGAACGTGACCGTATCTGTGGTTTAGTCTGTAAGAGAACAACATATCCCAAGGCTACAGCATGATCAGTTTGGAAGGGACCTTAGAGGAGAATACGTTTAACTCTTTCATCTCAGTCCTCTAGTTCCATAGCTGAAATCCTACATGCCTTGGTCTCTGAGTTGCTGAGATGAAGAGTGAAAGTGTAATTAGGTCTCTGGATTCAGCCTAGTGTTTCTTCCAACATATCATCTTGTCTTTCAAAGTAAAGGGCAACATGGGCTTCTTTACTCTTGACCATATTGTCCACAATAGTGGAAGTGCATATGACTATGAGAAACCCACCTTAATTGGTGGGGGCTTTTCTCATGTATGTCAGAATCCACCAGGCTCTGCTGTGTTCAGAAAACACCTGCAAATGATTCAGTGCTTAGCCTTCTCATTTATCCAGAAATTTGTTTGACATTTCTAACTCATTTGTAAAGGAAAACTAAAGTAGATAATTAATTTTCGTGCTCTTTCAGAATATTTTAATATCATGCTGCACTGGATAAATGTTTCCATTTTTATTTTTATTTAATGCAGCTCTTTCTATTGTGCACTGTCATTCTCTGTGTCTTTTCACATAAAAGTTCCTTGTTTTTTTTCCATTTTTTTCTTTTAATTGTGTTCTCTAAATATAGCATGAGCAGGAACCTCTCAGCTAATAGATTTTCAATTACTTCACTTCTGCATTTACAGATTCTCCTCTCACTACTTCATTAAATCAATGCTAGTGATACACATAGGCAACTTTACCGAAAAATAGCTCAAGACTGAGAGTTATTAAATTACAGTTTCAACCTGCACTTGTACCCCTGAAATTAAAATAATAGTTAAAAATAAAAATAAATACTAGTTAAGAAGATGTCTTTCCTTTCAAACAGTGGAACTCTCACCATGTTTCACTCTTGCCGTTTCACTGTTTGAAAGGAAAATCATATTCCTTTCACTAAGTTAAGTTTACTCAGTACTTTTGTGGGGAAAACAATCAAGTACCTATAACTAGATCATATAAGAACCAAATGGTCTTACAAAATGATTTCATATTCAGTTTGATTTATCCATAGATCGATTATGCACAATGTCTTTAAAAGCATAATTAAATTTTGCATAATCTCTGAGGGAAACAGCACAGTAAGGAATGAATCTTTCAGATGTCAACAATTTTGAAAATATCTTTCTAAAGAGTATCCACATGTACGTAGAACTCTATATGTAGACATTTAAAAATACATTCAAGTTTATTTTATATGTATATAAAGCCTCATTAACTTGCTAAGTCAATTACAGACTAAATGAAATTCTAATGAGAGCTAGAGATCTTTAAACTTTGTCAGGAAACAAATTATTTTAAAGTGTTTAGAAGCATTCATTTCCATGTAAAAATATGCAAATAGAAATGTCTATTCATTTTAAAAGTTCATATGACTTCTATTTGGTAAAGTGTAGTTTTCATTCCTTATGAAAAGTTGCTTTGATTAATAATATTATATAATTCAAGCTTACTGTTTAATATTATTTTAAAAATGGGTGTTCCATTAGGCTATGATTCTTTTTTGTTCAACCCTATATTCCCAGTATCTAGAGGAGTGCCTGGCAGATGGTAAGTAGGTACTCAATAAAAAATTTGTCAAATGAATGCTTAACAAATGAATAAATGCTACTGTTAACATAAACATTTAACATTACCAAGATCCCTTATCTTCAGTGATTCCTAGTTCAGATTTAAGGTAAGAGGATGTTGCAGCCAGTAGTGGTCCTGAGATAGGTCTGCTTTTGCCAACAAACAAGGCTTTCCCCTGGCCTTAATTCAGAAAGACCTCTGCCCAGAGAGGGTCCCCACTAATAAGGAAAAATCAAGCTTGAACTCCAAGTTTATGTTACACTTCCATAGTGATCTGTGCATCACATCATTATGAAAACAACAATTTCAAGCTTTAGAATACAAAAAATAAGAGTATAAATGAATGAAGGCAATTAGTGAAAGTGAAATATCAAGGAATTGGATTTATTAACATCTCAAGGGACAGTATTTAAATTATAATCTTAAAGCACTCAGCAAACTAAGCCAATACATTTCCTACTCTGTGGTAGAGTAAGATGTAGCCAATAATTGTATCATTACTTTTATGAATTTGTAAATCAAATCTGATTCATCACTTAGTAAAAATCATTTAATTATTATAATTATACAGTAACTAATTTAGTGGTCATGTGTGCCTGATGTTGTCAAGGAATAATATACATGACTTGGCCCAAACTAGTTCTGCAAATATAAGTTATGTCTAATATTTTCAATTAATTATTCCAGAACCAGCACAAAACCAATCTATTACAAAAATATTTTAGACTCCCAGATTAAAAGTACATAATATTTTAAATTATTTTAAATTAATAAGCTAAGGTTTCAGGAAGCTTTTTCTTTGAATTTGCATAAAAGATTAGTAAATTTAATTTTAGTGTATATCTTAATCAACATGATATAAAGAGCTTAATCCAGTGATTCAGGACAATAGCAGAAAATTAGAATTTGTGAGTTTATCTTTAAGGCTAGCGTACACACCACACATATCTGATATATGACAAAACCCTTATCTTTAGTTATGTCCCTTAATGGCTCAAGAAAGAGCTGCATGATTCCTGTATCTGTGAAGCTGGACTGAAAGAATTTTTATTGGTTTTATGAGTATATTGAGATGTGGCTGAAAGCCAGTGTTTAAATTGGATTGCTTCCATATCTTTCAAAGATTAGAAACATACAGCTAAAAAAAGAGCAACAAATATCAACAGAGTTTTCTGGAAATATCAATGTAAGAAAGATTCCAAGCAATTCCTGCTAAACCATGATGAAAAAGGAAGTAGCATTGCAGATATGCCCAAAACTAGAGACAATCCCAATACTTCTGCAATCATTCACTCATAAATTCCCCTCAGTATGAAATTCTACATACTTCACTAAAAATGAAAGCCAAGTTAGCTCCAAAATATCATCTACATCTATCATTGACACCAATAAAAAACAATTTATTACACTAACATAATTGTGATATTATGTTCGGATAAATAGCTGCATTTTGGGGGTAGGTGATCACTAACATCTATTGCAAGCCAACGGAATAACCACTTTGAAAAAATGTGCACATTTCCAAGCATTTTGGTGATGTTCATGTGTGCCCCTAATGAATATGTAGCCATGAGTAGCAATTTTAGACTCAAGTCCTATTGGATAAAGGGAAACACCAACAGCAACCGGTTGAAAGCTTTGGTCATCATTCATTCGTTTAACAAATGTTTATTGAACAACTGGAAGATAGTTGGTGTAAAAAAGCCTTAAAGACAAAATAAGAAGTAGCTACGTGAGATGACAGATATGTTAATCTGCTTCACTACTTTAACTATTTTACTATCTGTATATATTCCATAGCATCATGTTATAAACCTCAAATATGCACAATAAAATTTATTTTAATTGAAGACTAAAAGAGAATATAGAACATATATAAGTAATCAAATATATAATTTACAATTTACAATTCTGAAAGGGAAAAATAAGTCATTAGATAATAATGAGAACTTAAGGAGTATTTAAATTAGATGAGGAGACAGAGACAGCCTCTTTGAGGAGGTGAACAACCTGGAGATGTACGTGGCAAATATAGCTAGTGTGCATAGAGCAAACATATGGATCATTGGTGGTCTTGCCTTTACTGGCTTTTATCCATAAGCCAGTTCTGCTTTGACATCCTCAGTACTACATCCATAATTTCAGAATTCCCTTGTTTCTCTCATGTTCCACTCCCTGGACACCTGACACCCCCATCAACTTTCTTGCCCCCTCACTTCTCCCGCCTGGGTTTCTGGCTGAAGAGCTAAAGCTGCAACTCCATGGCCCTGCCTCACTGTGGGTCAGGGGCAGTGACAGCCAGATATGTGGCATGAATGGGGACAAATCTCAGTAGTGATACATCAGTTTGGCTAAAAAGCTTTGCTTGATGTTATGGGAACAATTTCTTAGCACAATAGGCAAATTTTAATTTCTCTCAAATTCAAATACTATATTTAAAATATACTTAAGTAAAAAATTTTATTTAATTCTCCATGAACTGATTCTTTTCAACTGTATAGCAATATGCTTAAAGTCTTAGTGTGCAGTTTACCTAAAATAAAAAATGAGATTTATAGAATTGTTACTATTCTCTGAAAGAGGATTTGAACTTTCACGATATGTCTACAACACACTATTCTTTTATGTAACAGACTTATCAGATCTTTTATTTAATGGAGACAAAAAGTCATCTGGTCAGATTATACTGGTGCATACAATAGTTGCATAGTCAATTGTTTTTATATATAAATATTTGTAAGTGCTAAGCCTGAAGATTTCCTAGAAAGAAAGAAAAAGAATCTCTTAAGAATATTATATCACACCCAGACAAACAAAACTCACAATACCATAAAAGATAAATTATTATCAAGGGGAGAAAAAAATACAAAAATATAATATGGTTACCGTTGAGCTCAATTTTTACAATTTCAAGCACCTTTTTAAGTTTTTGTTTCAAAGCTCTAGAGCTGGACAGAACATAAATAGCTACTTCTTTCTCAGTATTTTATACATAGAAGAATAAACCTAAAATGACTTTTTTTCCTTATATAGGCTAGTATAATAGTCAATAATTAGAGAGCCTTATAAAGGCTATCCAATTTTTTAAAAAGTAAGTTGTTTTTATGAGCATTATCAATATTAAGGTTATTCTCTTTAGAAATATATATTTTTCCCATAATTCTATATATGTGTACTTTTATTTATTTATGTCTGTCTTCTCTACTAGACTGTTACCTCCATGAAGGCAGTGTCTTCATCTGTCTGGGCTGCTACAACAGAATCCCATAGAGTGGGCAGCTTATAAACAACAAAAATTTATTTCTCACAGTTCTGGAGGCTGAGAAGTCCAAGATGGAGGCACCAGCAGATTCAGTCTCTGGTGAGGGCCTGCTTTCTGGTTCATAAATGGCTACATTCTTGCTGTATCCTCACATGAGGAAAAGAGAGGGAGTTCTCCTGGATCTCTTTTCAAAAGGCACTAATTCCATTCATGAGGGCTCCACTTGCATGGCCTAGTCACCTAACAAAGGTTCCACACCTCCTAAAACCATCACCTTGGTATTTATGATTTCAACATATAAACATTTTTAGGTGGAGAGGAGAACACAAATATTCTGTCTCTAGCAGTCAGGTACCATTTCCATTTTTTGTGCCACATTTTTAGGCCCTCAATATGTTTTTATTGAAACAATGAATTTTTATAATGATAAGCAGACTATATGGTACTTATACATAGGAATTAAAAGTCCCTGGATCTAATCTACTTGGGAGGCTGTGGCAGGAGAATCTTTTGAACCCTGGGGGTGGAGGTTGCAATGGGCTGAGATCATGCCACTTCACTCCAGCCTGGGCAAAGCCTGGGCAAAAGAGTTAAATTCTGTCTCAAAAACAAATGAACAAACAAACAAAAAATCTCTGAATATTAACTGAAATGCAGGAGAGAAAACATGAAGGCCAAAAGTAATTTAAGTTTCTAATTATATTAGGAGAATGAACCAAAAAGTGACCTAACATGAGTCATATTTTTCTCCTACAAGAAAAAAATCTGAAGTATTAAGATACATTTCTCTTTCTAACACTAAAATTGTGAAATAGTATGAAGTTAAAAAAATAGAAATCTAGTGTAATATATTCAGACAGGTTATGAGTAAATCAGTACAGAAAAATATAACAACTGATGACTGGGAATAAGGCTTACCTCTGTTTTTGAAAGTTGAGGATAGAACACCAAAATGTAGGTTTACATTCTTAAAATCTGCAATCGCATAATAATATTGACCGATATTTATGGTCCTACTTAGCCTTGGTTAAGAACCCTGTACATAGCAGACCTTCAATAAATGCCCATTATTAATACAAACAATATTCTAGAGGTAAATAGCAACTTGTGTGAGTTTACCTTTAGCATGTAAGATATGGAGTCACAGTTAAAGGACTGGAAGAAATGGCAGGAAGGACAACTCTCATCTCCACTCAAAATCCTATTTGTTCCCATATTTTTGTGTTCAGGAAATGGAGGGTTGGCAGCAAGGAAAATACACTTTGCATCTATCCTGTACTATGCACTTTACACAAACATGATCTTATTCCAACAGAATGCTCTGAATTATCTACATTGTCTTTATGAGGAAATCAGCTAACCTCCTAAGAAGAATCCAAACCCTGGTCTGACTCCAAACCCTAAATTCTTCACACTTCATCTTATTGACAGAGCAGAACATAAAGATAGGGCTTAAGAAAGACTAGACGAGGCAATGGAAACTATCAGGTTGGCTTCAAGCACTAACATTATCTGGCCTAAAATAAAATAGAGGTGCATATCTTGCTGACCATAATTGGAGACGGGGAAAGGCAGCCAGTGAAAGAGGGAACTGTTGATTGTTAGGATGCCCCCACCCTGCCTTTTTTGTTTGTTCGTTTTGAGACAGAGTCTCTCTCTGTTGCTCAGGCTGGAGTGTAATGGCGCGATCTCCGCTAACTGCAACCTCCGCCTCTCAGGTTCAAGCCATTCTCCTGCCTCAGCCTTCCGAGTAGTTGGGACTACAGTGCGTCACCATGCCCAGCTAATTTTTGTACTTTTAGTAGAGACAGGGTTTCACCATGTTGGCCAGGCTGGTCTGGAACTCCTGACCTCAAATGATCCGCCCGCCTCGACCTCCCAAAGTGCTGGGATTACAGGCGGGAGCCACTGCGCCTGGCCAGGAAGCCCCTTAACTCCAATTTTTTTTTTTTTTTCAAATAATCCCTTCAAGTTACATTAAAGAAAATGCATTGAGTTTAATAGAGAGAATAAAGTACATGTTTCGGAGTCAAATTCCCCCCACCTCATCCCGCCCCACCAGGTTTGAATGATAAAACATCAGAAAACCTGCTCTAGAGGTTCTTCATAAAAATCTCTCTCACAGCTGTAGATTGGCACCTGCAATCCTGTCGGAGCAATTTATGTCTTTCCTCTTGGTCGCCAGAACACATGCAAGAGAGGAGAACAGCCCAACACACACCATTATTCCACATAAGCAAATCACAAGAGCTTGGGTGGAGATGCTAGTCACCTGGAAAAACAATCCAGGAAGCCCTTTCACCTTGCTTGATGATGACTAATCAAATGTTCACCCAGGAATGTGCTCCTTTCACTCAGCCAAGAGATCACTCTAGTCATGTATCAACCTCATTATTTTCTTTTTAGTACATTTTAAACATTTTAAGTAATAGACTGAGAAAGCTCAGCTATCCAGGGACCAGTTTTCTGGAACTTTCCAATCCTAGAATTCTTCCTGACTAGCCAAACAAAACCAAACTCCAAACCTATTAGCAGAATTAGCCCCTGCACAGGCAGCAATACATGAGTACAATTGAAAAGGGTCCTGGACCCAAAGATCAGGATGACCCCACTCTGTTATGGATGTGTCAATTCAAAGAGGTTAATAACAATAGACCACAGGCAATTTTCTGAAGAATGAACAAAAATCTGTTGAGAAAAGACCACCTCAATTAAATCTTAGTGGGGGATGGGGAACCGGGGGAAGAGCCAAATCATGCTACCAAGGAGCATTTTGTGGCCGCAATATTTCATTCTATGTTTTAAAGAAAAAGAGATTATTACCTACAACTTCTTCAAGAAACCAAGTTCTAGAGCCTGTGCGGATAATTAGCTTCAATCTTTGTGGACACAGCACCTACATCTGCCTACATGTGGGATGACTCTGAGTCATCCAGAGCAAAGTTAAACTACTGTTTAGTTAGGCCATAGGCCCCAGTTGTTCAATCAAACATTAATCTAGGTGGTGTGGTAAAGGAATTTTGTAGATATATGTAACATCTATAATCAGTTGATTTAAGTAAAGGAGATTATCATCAATAATCTGGGTGGGTTTGACTCAATCATCAAAAGAACAGATGAGTGCTTTCCCTGATGAAGAAAACATGCAGCTTAAGTTTCCTCCAAGGAATTCCCAGCTTGCAGATTGCCCTAAAGATTTTGGACTTGCCCAGCCAGCCTCCATAATCACATAAATCAATTCTTTTCAATAAATCTCTCTCTCTCCACACACACACACACACACACACACACACACACACACACACAAACCAACATATATGCACACAACATATATATATAGGTATGTATATACATACATGTACATTCTCCATAAATTGCACCTAAAGTTATGTCAGAGCAATTTCTGTTTTTCTGGTGGAGCCCTGACTGACCCATACAGATTTCTGCCCTAAGAGTGGTTCCATAAGAATAGAATTTTTAAGGATAAGCTTTATGAATTGGTTTGGTTCTGTTATTCTTGGAATATGTTCTCTAATGTGATTAAATTTAAAGGTATTAAAGACAATTCTCAGTTGTGAAGAGGGTACTGGTAGTCTATGGCATGATGTGGCAATGGAGAAACACAAATATCACCACTGAGTACTCATAATCAAATATTTGTAAAAGGCAAGGTTTTAGGTGACCATATATTTCATGCCTTAGAGCATTTTAGCCAAACTAAAGAGTATGATGAAATTGGCAGGTTGCTGCCAACTGTACTATGGAAAATGGAAAGAAAAAGATAAACTCAGGGCTTGAAATTTCCTGTTCAAGCTCTGTATAAATAACCTGAATACTTCTGTGTCTGCCCAAAAGCAAATCCTTATCTCCTATAACCACAGGGCTAAGATTTCAAAACCAGACTCTCACACTGTGTGTTGCTGAATTACAACACAAAATGAATTTCTCCTGTTAAAGTAGGAGGATTGATTGAGAACAAATGGGATCTTGAAAATTAGAATGGGGACATATGGGAAATCCCACTCAAACTTGTGACATCAAATCTCTAAATTCTGATGAGTTTATTTGCCAATAGAAAAATCTTTTCACCCCTGTCTGAGGTTAACTCTGCGTTGCCTAAAGAACCAGTAATGGCTGCTCCTGAGGTAGGTGTCTTGCAAGACCCTGTTGATTCTCCTCAGAACTTATCCCTGACACCCCTCTTTGCTTCTAGACTTATAACAAGACTCAAGTACCAGCAGGCCCTAAAGATTAAGGTACAAAGTGTAGTCCACAAGGAAGTGTGCTACATACCAAACGAATTGCATGAGTTTTCCAATTTATACAATCTGGGGAATACGTAAATGAATATTAAGTATGTGGGATAATTGTGGAAGGAACATAAACTTGAATCACATAAATCATTTCCTATCAAGTGCATTCCTAGAGGGATTATAGGGATTAGTGCCACCATCAAGGACTTGAAGGATGCAGGGGTAATGATTCCCACCACATCTTGTTTCACTCGTCTATTTGGCTTGTGTAGGGCCTTCCACCATAGTAAAATTCCCATAAAGTTGAATTAGGATGAATTTATTGATATCATCCCACTAAGCAGAGATTCTGGATTCAGTATTTTAGCTCAAAGGGTTAGAAAAGGCTCTAACAGTTTGGTTCGTTGGCTGAAACATGGACTACAAGGCGGTCTACATTAAATGAAATCAAATGCCAGAATTAACTGCCTTGCTACACTGAAGAGGAAGTTATCCAAAGGCTAGAGAGGGAGATCGAAATAGTAGAATAAATTTATCATGTAAGACCTGCTCACATACCCCAGGAGAGTCCTTAGGACACACATTTCATCATGATGGTGAGAAATAAATTTGTGAGGGGGGCCCCAGCACCCTTAAAGAGCTCTGTGGTCATCCTTCTTACAGGTCAGACATTACAGTGGGAATTGCTGCCACTGAACTGGGTGGGATACCTAAATGCAATAAGGATAATTGGCTCCCAGGCAGCCTTAATCATCAAAGACAAGATTGATGTGGTTACACAGTGAACAGCAAAGACAATGCAGTAATCAGAATAGTCTAACTTGTGGAGACCTTTGGAATTGGCTAGTTGATCATGGTGTTTCTAGAAAAGAAATAGGTAATCTACTAAATTCTTAATCTGTATATAAACAAGGGTTATAACACTACTGAACTATGGAGTGAGGCCAAGTAGAAATCACCAGAGCTGTCTCCACTTAGAAAAAGTGTAAATCATAAGCAAATCTATATTCCTAGAGGGATTGCAGAGCTCAATGCCACCATTAAGGGCTTGAAGGATGCAGGGGTGATGATTCCCATCACATCTCATTTACTCGTCTACTTGGTCTGTGTAGGGCCTGCCACCTCGATGAAATTCCCAGGGATCTAGTAGTATGGGGCATGTTAGACATATCCTTTCTAAAGTAAACATTAAGTTGTTGCATTTGGCTTCTCATACAACCAAAAATGAAGCACAATGCCAAGTGGGCCTCTTTGGATTTTAGAAGCAACTTATTCTTTATTTCGGTGTACTACTTTGGCCAATTTATCGAGTGACCCAAAAAGCTGCTAGTTTTAGGTGGGTACCCAAATAAGAGAAGGCTCTATAACAAGTCCAAGCTGCCATGTAAGCTTCTTTGTCATTTGGAACATATGATTCATCAGATCCGGTGATGGTGCTTGAAGTGCCAGTAGCAGATAGAGATGTTGACTGCAGCCTTTGGCAGATCCCTGAAGGTGAATCACAGTGCAAACTCTGAGGCTTTGTTCCAAAACCCTGCCATCTTCTGAAGACAGCTACTCTTCTTTTGAGAAACAGCTTTTTGCCTGCTACTGGGCCTATATAGAAACTGAACACCTCACCATGGGCCACCAAGTTACTATGAAATCTAAGCTGCCCATCATTAAATGGTTGTTGTCTGACCCACCAAGCATTTTAACGTTGGGTATGTACAGCCACACCCCAATATCAAATGGAAGTGGTATATATAAGATTGAGCTGAAACAGGCTCAAGTAATCTACATAAGGAAGTGGCCCAAATCCCATGGTCCCCACTCCTGCCTTTATCTTCTCTCTACCAGTCAGTACCTAGGGTCTCCTGGGGAGTTCCCAGCAACCAATTGACTGAGGAAACAAGATTTCAGAGTGGTTTACAGATGGTCTTGCATGATATGCCAATGCCAATGCTCTACTGAATGTAGAGAGTGATTGCACTACAACCCCTTTCTAGTACATATCTGAAGGACAGTGCTAAAGAGAAGTCTTCCTAGTGGACACAACTTTGAGCAGTGAAGCTGGGTGTTCATTCTACTTGGAAGGAGAAATGGCCAGACGTACAAGACTATATTGACTGATGGGCTGTGGTCAACAGTTTGGAGATGGCCATCAACTTAAAAGGAACATGACTGAAAAATTGGTGACAAGGATAGCTGAGAAGAGGTATGCAGATAGACCTCTCTAAATGGACATAGAACATAACATTCATGTCCCATGTAAATGTTCACCAAAAGATGACCTCAGCAGAGGAGAATTTTAATAATCAAGTGGGTAGAATGACCCATTCTGTGGATACTGCACTTCTTTCCCCAGCCACTGCTGTCTTTGACCAGAGGGCTTGTGAACAATGGCCATGGGGAGGCATGAAGGTTATGCGTGGGCTCAGCAACATGGACTTCCACTCAACAAGGAAGTTGGAGATGGGCCAACCTGACTTCAGCCACTGCTGAGTGGCCAATCTGCCAGCAGCAGAGACCAACACTGAGTCCCCAATATGGTATCATTCCCTGGGTGATTAACCAAGCTACGTGGTCACAGGTTGATTGTATGAGACTTCTTCTATCTTGGAAAAAGTGCTGCTTTGTTATTACTGGAATTATATACTTACTATGGATATAAATTTACTCTCCCTCATGTAAAGTTTCTGTCAAAACTACCTCCTCAAATTTACAGAATAATTCATCCATGCTTACAGTAATCCACACAGCATTGCTTCTGATCAAGGAGCTTACTTCACAGCAAATGAAGCAAAGAAACTCTAATTCACTGATCTTACCATGTTCTCCATCATCCTGAGTTAGATGGCATAATAGAAAACAGTGGAATGGCCTTTGAAAACTCAGTTATAGTGCCTAGTAGGTGGCAGTATTTTGCTGGGCTCTAGAAATATCCTCTAGGAGGCTGTATATGTTCTAAATCTAAATATGTATGTGCTCAATATGTGGTGCTTGATCTCCTATTGCCAGAATTCGTGAATCCAACAATCAAGGGGTGAAAATGAGAGTGGCATCACTAATTATTACACTTAGCAATCCACCAGAGAAATTTTGCTTCATGTCCCCACAACCTTATGCTGTGCTGGTGGAGAGGTCTTAGTTTCAAAGGGAGGTGTTCTTCCACTAGGAGACGAAAGGGTTCCACTGAACTAGGAGTTAAGGCTGCCACCAGTCACTTTGGGCTCCCCAGACCTCTGAATCAACAGGCAAAGAAGGAAGTTACTATATTGGTTGGGGTGGTGAATCCTGATTACCAAGGGGAAATTGGGCTATACCACGCAGTGGAGGTAAGGATGAGCCTGTCTGAAACACAGGAGATCCCTGAGGGCATCTCTTATTACTACCACATTCTGTGAAGAAAACCACAATAATTCAATTCAGACAGGACTGCTAATGGCCCAGTCCCTTCAGGAATGAAGGTTTGGGTCACGCCGCCAGGCTAAGAACCATGAGCAGCTGAGGTGCCTGCTTAAGAGCAGAGAATTATGAAATGGGTAATGGAAGAAGGGAATCATAAATACCAGCATTGACCACATGGCCAGTTCTAGAAGCAATTCTGTAAATTTTAAGCATCCCTTATTTTGTTAGAAATGTGTGTGCACATGTATTTAAGATTTTTGCTTTCTTTCCTCTTTTGTCATTATTATCTAACGTAAGATATATTCATAATAGCTAACTTTACATCACAGTGTTTAAGCTACAGAATGTCAAGGAGAACAGTGAATGACATTGCATCCTCTTCTAGGGAAAGGGTTACCATGTTTTGGGCTGGAAAACATGCTTCAAGATAGCTGTATTGCATTAGGTGGAAGAATGACTTTGCTATGTTCTTTATTTTGAGATTAAATATGGTTTCAGGAAATGTGCATGAGTCTAAAGTTGCAAAGTGTGGACTGTGATGTGGTGATCAGCTTCATGCGTCAACCTGACTAGTCTATAGTCCCCAGTTAATCAATCGGACACTCACCTAGGTGTTTGTGTGAAGGAATTTTATAAATGTGACTAATATCTGCAATCAATTGACTTTAAGTGAAGAAGATTATCCTCAATATCTTAGTGGTCCAGATTCAATCATCTGAAAGGGCTTAACAGCAGAACTGAGGTTTTTCCTGAGGAAAAAGAAATTCTACCTGTGGACTGAAGCTCGAACTCTTGCCCCAGAGTTTCCACCCTACTCTTCTGCGAGTGTGTGGATTCCTTAAGCCCATTCCTCACAATAAGTTTCTTAATGTATATCTCCTACTGGTTCTGTTTCTCTGTTTTTCATCTGTTTCTCTGGTGGAAGCCTGACTGATAAAATTGCATATAGATTGTGAGGGCATGTAAAAGTGGAAAATATTAAAATAAAATTGCATATAGATTGTGAGGGCATGTAAAAGTGGAAAATATTAAAATGACTTCCAGTAAGAAAAATTCCATTAAAAAAGGAAAGCTTTGTCATCCATCATGATTCCCAAGGGTGTACTAGAAATATAGTATTTCTATGAAGAAGGTGTAAATTGAGATATGAAACTAAAACCCAATATAATAAACTACTTGCCCCAAAGTCACAGAGGTGATAATTTGAAGCTATATTTTATGACAGAAAAATTTTATTTTAATTACATAAATTAACTTCTATTTAATAAATGAATGCATTGTTTCTCTAGACAAGGTTCACCATTGTAAAGAATCTAATAAAAAGAAACACGGATTTTTTCCTCTATCGAAAGTAGTACTTGGAAAAACAATGATAGCACTTTGAAACTTCATAGTAACTTAGATTTTT